>NC_000012.12:75641946-75793461 GCF_000001405.40 Homo sapiens | reverse complement strand
GGATGTCTTTCTATTTTTTTTTTAGGTCTTCATTAGTTTCTTTCAATGTTGTTTTGTAGTTTTCAGTATATGAGTCTTACACAACATGGATAAAATTTATTTTTAGGTATTTTATTCTTTTGGATGCTATTATAAATTTATTTTTCCCTTAGTTTATTTTTCGATTGTTCATTGCTAGTATATAGAAATACAATTGCTTTTGTGTATTGATTTTATAGCCTGCAATCTTAGTGAACTTCTATTAGTTTGAATAGGTTTTTTCATGGATTTCTAAGTACACTGTATATATAAGATTATGTTACCTGCGAATAGAGATATTTCTTTCTTTAAATCTGGATGCCTTTTATTTTCTTGCCTGATTGTACTGATTAGAACCTACAGTACAGTGATGAAAGAAGCTTTGAGAGCAGACATCTACCCTTTGTTTCTGATTTTAGAGGGAAAGTTTTCAGTCTTTCACCATTAAGTATGATGTCATCTGTGCGTTTTCATGTATGCTCTTTATCAGGTGGAGGAAATTCCCTCCTATTCCTAGTGTGTTTAGTATTTTCATCATGATAGGGTGTTAGATTTTATCAAATGCCTTGTGTCTCTGGATATGATTATGTGGTTTCTGTCCATTATTGCATTAATATGGCATATTACAATGATTTATTTTTCTCCCCATAGTTAATCAAACCACATTCCTGAAATAAATCCTACTTGGTCATGGTGTATAATTCTTTCATATGTTGCTGGATTCAGCTGCTACCTAATAATATTTTGTTAAGGATTTTGTTCATTGTACATTCATTGGTCTGTAGTTTTCTTATGATATCTTTTTCTAGTTCTGGTAGCAGGGTAATACTGGCCTCATAGAGTGAATTGGAATGTGTTCCCTCCTCTTTTGTTTCTTGGAAGAGTTCATGAAGGATTGGTGTTAGATTTTCTTTAAATACTTGGTAGAATTTTCCAGTGAAACCCTCTAAACCTTTGAGTGTTTCTTTTTTCTTGGTCAGTCTAGCTAAATAAAGATTTGTCAGTTTTGCTGTTTTCAAAGACTAACTTTTGGTTTCATCAATATTCTCTGTTTTTTTTTTAATTCTCTGTAGCATTTATTTCTACTCCAATCTCTACTATTTCTTTCCTTCTGCTGGATTGGGGCTTAATTTGCTCTTTTTTTTTTTTTTTCTAGGTGGGAGGTCTTAAGATGGAGGCTTAGGTTATTAATTTGATATCTTCCTTTTAAAAATTGGCATTTACAGGTATAAATTTCCTTCTAAGCACTGCTTTAGCTATATTCCACAAGTTTTGGCATGTGGTGCTCTCATTTCATTCGTTTCAAAATATTTTAAAATTTCCTTCTGATTTCTGTTTTATTAGTTCGGAATATATTGTTTAATTTTCACATATTTGTGTATTTCTCAAATTTCCTTCTGTTACTGATTTCTAGTTTTATTCCCTTGTGGTTAGAGAACATATTTTGCATGATTTCAATCTTTTTAAATGTATTGAGACTCATTTTAGGTCTAACACATTGTCTGCCCTGGAGAGTGTTCCATGTGCACTTGAAAAGAATGTGTATTCTGCTGTTGTTTGATGGAGTGCTCTGTAGATGTCTGTTAGATCTAGTAGGCTTATAATGTTGTCAATGTTTTCTATCCATTTTCTTGTTGGTCTTCTGCCTAGTTCTAGTTTTAGCTGTTTTTCATGGCTACCGATGTGGTGAGCCTATCTGTTTCCAAGGCTATTTCAGAGCTGTGGAAGGTAGAATGGGAAAAGCGCAAGTTAAATCTCCTAAAATCTTGCTGTGCTTATTATGATTCAGCCATTTATATTGAATAAATCTTTCTCAGATAGTTGTAAGCCTTTTGTTAATTTCCAGAGTTCTGAAAGAAGTTGATTTTCATGAAATTTACCCATATTTTCATTGATTTTATAGAGGAACAGATTTTTGGAGATCTTCTTTCTACCATTCCCACTGATATCCTGGAAATCACAGTTTTTAGTATAAAAGGTGATGGCTGATCTGAGCCATCTTTTTTTTTTTTAAGTCTTGTAAATACATTCTAAGTACATAAATACATTTTTCATAAGGCTGAATTGATCAAAATATGGTTGAGGATCATCTCCATCAGAATTACCTGGGAGGTACATTAAGGATACAGATTACTAGACCATGCCAGGCAGTATTAAACCAGCTTCTCTAGAGGGAGAACCCATTACCTTATTATTTTTCACAACTTCCATGTTATTTATATATATGTACAAACTAAAATTGAAAAATCACTGACATGTGGTATTCTACAACTGATGTAATTCAGTGCTTACATACTGTCTATTGAGTTGTAAAATTGATTTTGAGCATCTTGAAATTCAGCAACAGGAACTTTGGCAGATAATAACGCTTTCCTTAAGTTTTACATTTATCAATTATACTTTAACATTGTTTTAACATAGCATATCATGAAAATATCAAGAGTTATGCATCTACAATTTGGTAGTGGCTCATGGGCTTTCATTCTGTCATTTATTTCTCAAGGGTATGATTTTTTACCCCTATTTTAAAGGCAAAGAACCTGCCAAAGGCAAAGAATGGTCATGTGACTAACAAGTGACAGAACTAGAATTTAAAAGAAGTATTCGTTGTACTAAATCCCATGTTCTTTCTGCTTTACCTTCCTAGTTCTCATAGGCTACATCTTTATTAGCCACTTCTCACTTGAACATAATGATTATTTTGCCAATAAATCCACAGCACATATTCACTTCAATTTCTTTTAAAATACTTTAGCACATTAGATGTCTTTCTTACCTCTTTGTAATGCAATTCAACTTCTCTTTGTCTGAAAGCTACAAAATAATTGCAAATAAAAATGAGTTGTATGTCACAGACATGAAATGTGGTATGCATGAGCAAGGAGGCAAGACAATTTGGAGCCTCTCTGTAGGCCAAGGGCTGAATTTCATAGCAGCTCTAAAATGAAGGTGAAAGAAAGGAATTGAGGCCCTTAAGCAAACCAAATCAAATTAGTTCAAAGAAAAGGAAATGACTTTTCACATTAATAGAGATGAGCTGGCATGCACATGCTAAACACCCTCATATTTTCAAATGACTATGTGTCACTTTCTCAAGGCTGTGGGCAATGGGTGTATATTTTAACAGATGATTTCAAAATAACAAATTTTCTGAGTGAGCTGGCCATCATTTCCTGGTGCAATTTTTAAGCTATGGGGCTATCTCTTAGAATTCTGAATTGTGTTCATCACTTGTCAAAGGAGAGAGCATGGCACAGAGGGGTGCCCCTGTAGCCCCCGACGTACCTAGAAAATTGGATGTCCCACTTCAGAGACTTTTAGAGCTGTCAGCTTATGATTTTGTTCTCACCCTTTCTGTGCCTGCGCAAAATTCCTCAGGTCAATTATGTGTGATAGAGGACTCGAGAAATCCTACTGTACGGAATTAATTTTGTGCTCTGAATTTTATCAGATTGGTTCATGTATGGGTATATATTCCTTACTCAGTGCCAATTTTTAGATAAATAGACTCAGAACTCTTTGAAAAGAGGGACTGTGTCTCATTTAGTCTTGCACTATCAAAACCTAACATGGCACCTTGCTCATAGTAGGCACTTGAAGCGTTTGAAGAATAAGCAGCTGTATTCATGATCTATGAATACAAATTCACAGATCATACTTCTCATCTGTTCTCAACCTATTGCTTTATTAGAAAATAGACTTTTTAACAGTCCAATAATAATTCAGTAAGTATAAAGGTAAAGAATAAAAATAAAATGAAAAATCTATGTGCCTACCTACTTTGAAAAACAAGAATGTTATAGTTAACTTTGACGTTTCCTGAGTAACCAAACTCTTTTCTCTCCACTGTATGCCCCACCCCAGAGGTAACTACCATCTTTAACTTTGAGTTTATCATTTAGTCTAGTGCTTTTGTTGTTGTCATTGTTGTGTTGTTTGTTTGTTTTCTGAGATGGAGTTTCACTCTTGTTGCCCAGGCTGGAGTGCAATGGCGCTATCTCAGCTCACTGAAACCTCCACCTCCTGGGTTCAAAGGATTCTCCTGCCTCAGTCTCCCGAGTAGCTGGGATTACAGGTGCCCACCACTACATCCAGCTAATTTTTGTGTTTTTAATAGAGATGGGATTTTGCCATGTTGGCCAGGCTGGTCTTGAACTCCTGACCTCAGGTGATCTGCCTACTTTGGCCTCCCAAATGCTGGGATTACAGGCGTGAGCCACTGCGCCCGGCCCTAGTGCTTTTATATTAAAAATAATTGTGCCTCTAATCATTAGGGAAATGAAAATCAAAACCATAATGTGATACCATCTCACGCCAGTCAGAATGGCGATTATTAAAAAGTCAAAAAAACAAGAGATGCTGGCAAGGTTGTGGAGGAAAAGAAATGCTTCTACACTGTTGGTGGGAATGTAAATTAGTTCAACCATTGGGGAAGACAGAGTGATGATTCCTCAAAGACCTAGAACCAGAAATACCATTTGACCCTCCAATCCCATTACTGGATATATACCCAATGGAATATAAATCATTCTATTACAAAGATACATGCATGCGTATATTCACTGAAGCACTATTCACAACAGCAAAGACATGGAATCAACCCAAATGCCCATGAATGATAGACTGGATAAAGAAAATGTGGTACATATACACCATGGAATACTAGGCAGCTATAAAAAAAATGAGATCATGCCCTTTGCAGAGACATGGATGGAGCTGGAAGCCATTATTGTCAGCAAACTAATGCAGGAACAGAAAACCAAACACTGCATGTTCTCACTTATAAGTGGGAGCTGAATGACACAATGGAGAGAACAACACACACTGGGGCCTGTTGTGGGGTTAGGGGGAGGGAGAACATCAGGAAGAATAGCTAATGGATGTTGGGCTTAATACCTAGGTGATGGGTTGGTCTGTGCAGCAAACCGCCATGGCACACATTTATCTGTGTAGCAAACCTGGACATCCTGCCCATGTCCCCCAAACTTAAAAGTTGAAGAAAAAACAAATAATAATTTGTTGTTTCATTATTAAAATGTTGCTCTTTTTTGGCTGGGTACGGCAGCTCACACCTGTAATCCCAGCACTTTGGGAGGCTGAAGCAGGCAGATCACCTGAGGTCAGGACTTCAAGATCAGCCTGACCAACATGGGGAAACCCCATCTCTACTAAAAATACAAAATTAGCTGGGTATGGTGGCGCATGCCTGTAATCCTAGCTACTGGGAGGCTGAGGCAGGAGAATCACTTGAACCCAGGAGGTGGAGTTTGTGGTGAGCCGAGATTGTACCATTGTACTCCAGCCTGGACAATAAGAGCGAAACTCCGTCTCAAAAATAATAATAATAAAAAATAAATAAATAAATAAAATGTTGCTCTTTTTAGTAGAGAGGGTATAAGTAATTTCTGTTTAAATTATCAATAACCCTTATTGATGGGCTCTAAGTCCATAAAGGGTGTGACATAAAGGTCAAAGAAGCTTGCCTTCTCAAAATATATTTAAATCTAAATAGGAGTTTTCATAGCCTTCCCCCAGTGGAGTCTACAATATGGGATGAATAAAGGAGAGATTTTTGGCTGAGGGCTGTTCTTAGTGTCTCTGTACATTCCCACTTGACCTCACATGCTGCTGTTGTGAATGAGACTCTTTACTGGCTGGAGACCTAATGCCCCCTAAGAGCATGGACTTACGGCACGAGGAAACATGGCTACAATTCTTATTATTTAAATAGCTACTTCTCTTGGATTTGTTGATTATAACAGCTTCATCACCTTGTAGATATGGTAGGCAAAAGCCACGTTAAAAGGTAGGCTTGATAAGTCAAAGTTGTTTTCTCACAGAAGATGAAAGAAGTGATTTATAGTTTACTCACAGAGAAGAGTTTGAGACCACATGAGAGAAAGGCTTTTCTTCTAGGAAACTGTAGGAACCTGATAGACTTTCCAGAAGAGGGAAGCTTTGCTCTGGTTGTTCTTTCTCATGGGGGTAGATTTCCTACTTTTTCACGGCTTCTTTTCCTTGAGTAGGACTAGGTGTTTTTTTTGTTTTTTTGTTTTTTGTTTTTTGTAAGAAAGAGTCTCACTCTGTCACCAGGCTGGAGGGCAGTGACATGATCTTGACTCACTGCAACCCCTGCCTCCCAGGTTCAAGTGATTTTCCTGCTTCAGCCTCCTGAGTAGTTGGGACTACAGGCATGTGCCACCATGCCCAGCTAATTTTTTTTTTTTTGTATTTTTAGTAGAGACGGGGTTATACCATGTTGGCCAGGCTGGTCTTGAACTCCTGACCTCAGATGATCCACCTGCTTTGGCCTCCCAAAGTGTTGGGATTACAGGCATGAGCCACCATGCCCTGCCAGGACTAATTTTTTTCTTTGTTCACCAGGGTGAGTAAATACAATCTTTCAAATACTCTCAAGAGTAGGCCTGCCTCAGTTTTGCTTGACATTGAATGAATATGATTCAATTCTCAAATACCTTGGTATTGAAAGTGGGGTATAGGTGGTCTATTATATTGACAGTATTTTTACATTAGTCTTATTCATGTAGCACATATTTGTTGAGCATGAAATGTGTGCTAGATGCTAGCAATATAACAGGATATAGAATAGATATAGCCTCTGCCTTCAAAAAGTCTATAGTCTACTAAGGGAGGCAGACATTAATTCTAATTGCAGTAAGTGCTATGAAGAAAAAGCATACATCATTTTGCTAAGTGTCATGGAGAGGAACCTCTTTTCCACCTGATTCCTATTTCCTTGTGGAGAGGTATCAATTAATATAGCACTCCTGGCTTCTCTGAATGGGGCATGCCTAGCTTAGCCTTTCTCATCCCTTTGCTTTTGGGATGGGCTTGTCTGCTCTGAGTCTCTGCCTCTGAGTGGGAATTAGGGTTGGGGCCTTCCAGGTTTCCGGTGCTGCCGTGACTGCATAGGTCTATCTAATTCTGCCAGTTAAATTAGGAAATCCACTGATACCCTGCACTTAAGTACAGTCCCCAACCTAGCCTTTATTAGTATTTTGTTGATAGTTGACTGTCATCTGTTGATCCTATTGTCTCTCTCAATTCAGAATTTAGGTGGAATAGGTGGTGTTATTATTGGGTCCCTCAAACCTCAATAGTAAGAATCAATTTGACGCTTATACTAGGGGAACTGACAGAGTGTAATTTCTGGAGCAGTGTAATTTCTGGACCTGTGGTTTTCAGAATTCTGCTGCTCACGGGAAGGTGGATTGTAGTGAGCTGACAGGGCCGAATTCTGCCCCCTTCACCAGTGCCTGCAGTGATGACAGATTTGTTTTGATCTATTTTACATATTAAGCTTCCACATAAAAATTCTGAGCTTAAAAATAATTTAAAACCAGTGCCTTGAACTTGTTGCTTTCAAACATTTTAAACCACAATCCTCAGTCATAGTTACATTTTATATTATTCAAACTCGTATATATTATATACATGTGTATACTGACCTTACTATCTGTGGTATAGTTTATTGCATTTCCATTTCATACCAAAGAGAAGTTTGGTTAAAACTCATGGAATTGATTCCACAACCCTCATTACATGAAATTTAAAAAATTCTGCACAAGACCATGTTTATTTTATCTCAGGCCTCTTGTCTAGTAAAGACCTGACCTTCCCCTGATCATATCCCTTTTGCCCCATGGGCCTTATTTCTTTTGGAGCTCAATATATCATTCATTTTCTGTATACAAATACATTAGAGTTAAACTTATGAAATTACCAGCCCTTCTGAGAAAGTACTTTTTCAACATTGTTATTATTGCTGAGGATTTCAACAATAGCAAAATAATGTATTACATTCCAAACTTGGCAAATGTTACTAAATATTTCTCTTGAGGCTCATTTTCAACCATATTATTATTACTGGCCTGTTTTTTTGGGTTTAATGAGATAATTTTCTATCAAATCATGGTAGCGAACAGAGCTGACACAAATTCTCAAGTTTGTGGTAAAGTTTATACTCCATTGGAAAGTTTCTTTTATATAACAATATTGGCAGGGCTCATGTTTTAGAATGAATTATTTATGTGGGCCCATTCACCACTGCTACCCCATTCTACACAGCATGACATCCAGAAAATGGCAGTTTTGATGAGCATGATGAAGGCAGTATCATTTTTGTGCTTGATACAGTGGCCGGAAAGTTCAGGTCTGGGTGGCATCCTGAGAAAGGGAGCAAGGCAGTGTGGTGATGCCAGGTGCAAGAAGGTGGGGGTGTCCAGAGGGAAGTGAGATGCTCTGCAAAAAAGTCAGAGGACATCTCAGAAAATAGAGCCACCTTCCTGATGTAGCTTCCAACAGTCCTGTCTCCTAATCCCTTCCAGCCCCCAAATATATGAAGCTGACTTCAGAGAGATAAACACCAAGGAGTCAACCCATTACTTAGCTTTTGTTTCCAAAATAAGACATCTTCTAGTTAGGAGAGCTTCTGACCGAGGGGCAAGTGGTTTATCCTCAAGATGGTAGAAAAGCAATGTGCATGCTCAGTAAAACTTGGCCTCACCAGATGCCAGGCTCAGAGAGTCCTCTTTCCTGCCTTTCTTGCGTCACTGCCTGTTTGCTTGAAACAAGCAGTAGAAATAGTCAAACACAGGTGCTGGCTGCACTGGCAGCACAGCCTCTCCTCCAGATTCAGGCTCTCCCTGGATGGCACTGGCTGGTAACCACAGAGTGAAGATCTAATCAAGCCAATGCTGGCTCCCTGCCCACCACTAGCTGGTTTTATTCAGCTTCCCCAGTGTTGATAATAAAACACAAGTGAGCCTTCAGTTTCTTGCCTGCTAGTTCCAAAGCCAGCATTTGCTGCATGCTCTCTGACTTGCAATTTGGTGGCATCCTGGACAGGACACTTGCCTACAATCAGCACACCTGGCTTCTTTGTCTAGGTTTTGCCTCCAACACATGGTACACATCACTTCAGCTACCTGTGCTTTATTTCAAATGGAGATACTAACCCCTAATGTTGGCCAAGCTTTGTGATTATTTATCTCAGGGATTTATCAGGGTTGAAAGCAGAAAAAGCTTTAATGAAATTCAAGACTCTGTCCTAAGATCCTAAATGGTTGAAGTGTGTCCTGGAGGGGGCTGGAGTGGAACAGGCCATATGAGAAACAATAAGGCTGGAAGGAGAGATTTCTGGTGACTGGGAGGGAGAGACAGATCCTGCCCTCAGAATTTGTACCCTACTCAGGTTGTGAGAAGGCCTCAGGGGGGAAGTGTTGACAGGAAGGGCACCTGTAGGAGGCTTGGGTTCTCCCACTTGTGTTCCCCTGTTTCATCTGAGATTTCTAGTCTTGGCAAAGAAGCAGCAGAACCTGGGATAATGGGTGTCTCAGCCACAGCCAGTGTGGACCCGCAACTGACACCTTGAGGGCATTCCCCATCTTGAAGCTAGTTAAGACCCCAGGACTTTTACATATTTGCAGGAGGAAACCCAAGAAAGCGTAGGTTTAACTTCTAGGTCCAGCGAGAGTGGAGCTTGGAGTCAGAATTATAGTGATTTCAAGAATGGGAAGAGTAGGTAATGCACAATTTTTTGCATACCCAAGTGAATGGACTGAGGT
The DNA here is from genome assembly GCF_000001405.40 of Homo sapiens. Classification (NCBI taxonomy): domain Eukaryota; kingdom Metazoa; phylum Chordata; class Mammalia; order Primates; family Hominidae; genus Homo; species Homo sapiens. Next base: position 75,783,856 of record NC_000012.12, on the reverse strand, counting down.
TCTTAGTCTATATGTGTGTCACTGTATTTACTCAGTGAACTCTCAGAAAACCTTGTACTTCTTTTCTGCACACACTGAGCTTCTCTGCCAGGTGCCTTCTGAGGACATGAGAGCTTCATGCTAGGCTGGCCTTGATGCAGTGTGGGCAAGGCCTGGAGCAAAGAGTCATGAAAGTTGGAGGCTTGGAGTCCTGCCCACGGGTGGATGAGTGGCCCAGGCAGGCCAGGACTAAGTGCTGAAAGCCCATCAGTGCAGAATCATCCCATCGGGGCAGCATCGGGGTAACAGTCAAGCAGCAGCTCTTTGCCCAGTCTCCTTTTGCACCAGCTGTAGCTATTTGGGACTGATATGTTCTCAGGGCTTCCTCAGCCCCAAGTCCATGACCCCGTTTGTGCTTAAGGTGAACAGACGTCTCTCCTTTTAACAGAGGGGCAGGAACCCAGGAGACTGCTGAGCCAAAGCTTCTCCCCAGCTGTAATGCTTTCCTGAAATAGAGACTTTGCCTTGGCTCTTAGACCCAGCTCCATACTTTACTGTTCCCAGTTAGTCATGGAAAGACGAAGGTGCCTAAAAATAAGCACCATCTGGGCCCACAAGGTTCAGCAGGGCACACTCACAGCTAATGGAGAAAGTTTCAGTCTGCCTTTGTGGTCCTGGAAACCCAGCTGTGATGCGCTTGCCAGAAGGGCCCTTCAAGCCGTGTTATTCTGAGTGTCTCTCAGGGCAGCCTTTGCAAAGGCAACTTTTCACTGCCTGTAAGTTCTTGAGGTCACCCAAGGATAGCAGCTTCAGGGAAAATATGAGAAAAAATGTATTTTTAGTGCATTTTCTCATGTCTTTGTGTTGCCCCGCTCTCTTTCATGCTTCTGCAGTCCCCACTCCACTCTCCATTAGCTGCCTAGCTTCTGTGCCTGGTCATCTTCCCAGATGCCCAGAGACTTCTATGATGCCCTGAGCCTCCCTTTCCTAACACCCTTTTGGCTCTCCTCTTTATAAAAACTGACACATCTGTCCTTCAGAGAATGAAGCTAATCTGATAAATTAATTCATAACAAAGTGTAAAGGAGGATGGTTTAAGATGACCTGTTATACAGAAAATGGTTGCACTTTTATAGTGGTTAAAAAACATATACAATTTACCATCTTAACCATTTTTAAGTGGACAGTTCTGTAGGGTTCAGCTTATCTCTAATGGTATGAAATGGATCCCCGGAAGGTTTTCGTCTTGCAGAACTGAACCTCTGTAGTTATTAAACGATTCCTTACTTCCCCCTCCTCCCAAACTCTGGTAACCACCATTCTGCATTTTCATATCTATACATTTGACTACTTTAGATACCTCGTATAAGTGGAATCGTATGGTTATTGTCCTTTTGTGACTGGCCTGTTTTACTTAACATACTGTCCTCAAGGTTCATTTCTGTCTTAGCACATAACAAGATGTCCTTCCTTCTTAAGGGAGCATGGTATTCCATTGCATGTACATAGCACATTCTGTTTATCCATTCATCTATTAATGGACATTTGGGTTGCTTCCACCTCTTTGCTATTGGGAATAGTGCTGCTAAGAACATGAGTGTTCACATATCTCTTTGAGATCCTGCTTTCAATTATTTTGGAAATATACCCAGAAATGGGATTTCTGGACCACATGGTAGCTCTATTTGTAATTTTTTAAAGAACAGCCACGCTTTTCCGTAGTGGCTGCATCATTTTACAACCCAATAAACAGTGCACAAAAGTTCCAACTTCTTTACATCCCTGCCAACACTTGTTGTTTTCTGGGTTTGTTTTTTTTTTTTATTTGATAGTAGTGATCCTAATGAGTGTCAGAGTATGATTGTATTTTAAGGGAAGATTTTCATGCTTCACCCTGAAAGAATGATGATGGTGTTGATTTCAGGCTCTGGCACAAGCCAAGAGGAAATATTAGATATTTTGTTTAGGAAATTCTTGTTGCATCCTTCAAATCACATGACATAAGCCTCAGCAGAATCATTATATATCACTTGAGTGACAGATAGCTGAGTCACCTGCCCCTGAGGTCTAGATAAGATTACCTTCTCCATACCCCATTCTAGAATTGAGAAAAGTCAGACTCATGACACAGGATTATGCACATTTCTGGAGGGCTTATTTGTCATGGTCTTATCTCTGTTTTTTGCGTCCTGCTCATGTTATTTTTTTTTTTCCCCCTCTCCTATCTATATCATTCTTGTTTTGTTTCACACGGATGCAGACCTGGACCTGAGCCACTTTTCTTGATTTCCCAGAAATAGTCACTCACTCAAAGCCCTTGTATGTGCAGCAGATTTCACTGATGCTTTAAGGAGGAGTTTATGCTGCAAAAAAGCAAGCTATTTAAAACTGAATATTAGCTCTCCTGCTTCTAGAAGTTCTTTGGGCCATCCTGCCTCAGAGCACTTGTTTCCCCTGCTGTCAAGCCACTCTCTACAGCACCATTTGCCGTTTTGCTGACTTCTCCTTTCCCTTCCCCCTCCATCTTTTCATCTGAGTCCTTACTAACTCCTAGTTTGCCAGGGCTCTGTGCTGCACCAGCTAGAACCATGTGGGACTAACGGGCTCTTGTCCCAGGTTCATGCTTCATTTCTTCTCCAAGGTCAACAGACATCTCTCCTCTTAAGAGAGAGATACAAGAACCCTAAAGCCTGGGCCAAAGTTTCTCCGCAGCTGTAATGGTTTCCTGAAGCTGGAGATTTTGCCTCGACTCCTAGACCCAGTCCTCCTTCCATACTTTAGAGTTCCCAGGGATGCCACATTCTCCTCTCTTTATGATGCACAACAAATCATATCCCTCAAACTCCACTGTAAGTAAGCCCTCCTTTGCCAACCCAAATCTCAAAATGTTCACCTAAATAAAATACTCTTTCTCCATTTATGAGCTCAAAACAGAAGTGGAGATCTTGAGTTTTCCTTTAGAAGGTCTATCCACCTTCCTTGAGAAGGTAATGGTTTGAAAAGCATTTGTTTTTCTTCTTATACCCCAGAAATCTCTGTGATTTACTGTTGTTGACGACCATTCTGACTTCATGCTTTTGGGAAGGCTTCTTGGAATGGCTGAGTCTTGAAAAAAAAAAAAAGATAGGATTCTGACAAATGTATTTCTTTTCTCCATTGCAGCTGAAATCAAGGCTAGCTAGGCATGGTTAACAGTGTTTCCTAAAGCTGTTTGAGTCTATTTACTTCAAGGACTCTCTTTTGCACTACCCATGGAAGCTAGACTTCCAGATTCCCCACAATATTGGCTTTCTAACTTGGGCAACTGTTTTGTGCCTTATTCACACACTGGTTGCTGTTTGCGGCAGGAGGCTAAAAGAGTTGTTAGACTCTGTAGCACTTGGCTGTAATTATATACTCCTTGACCTCACCTACATAGTTGAAACCCCTGCTGCCTCCCTCCAGACAGATATCCTAGTGGGGAGTCTGGCTGAAGATTGAAAGGTTGTCATGGAAGTCACATTTAATTGCTTCCTCTTACTATATATGGTAGGCTGGAAATGGTATCATGAAGCTAATCTTGTAATCCTTTTCTTCCTGAAAGGAGAACAGTGGAATTCTGTGAACCAGAGAAATGTAGGCAGCTGGGAGTCGAACTTAAGCACCAGTATGGTAGGCACCAGCCCTCCTGTCCAGTCTCATTAGCCCTTCAATGGTGATAATGACGTAGTCGGAAGGCAGCTGAAGATTGCAAAGGAGCCAGACTGCAGAGGTCACTGGGAGGGGCAGAACATGGCATGAGGGAGAAGAAATGTAAAGGGAAATAGTATTGTCACCAAATTTGAGAGCTGAAAAAAGAATTGCATCCAAATATGGTAAAAGCTCACAGATGTTGTCTTAACTATCCTGTCTATGTCAAAAGAGGTTGTAAACAGGATACAGCAGTGGGAGCAAAAATCTACTCGCCCGGTAGTGAGATAGCTTGTGTTTCTGGAATGCCCCACACTCCATCTCTCTGCCAATCTCATTTTCTCTATCTGAAACAACTTTCTACCTGGGTCTCACCTACTCCGCATGCTGCCATTTCCCCTGGGATTACTTCTACTGGTCCTTCACATTTCAGCATAATTGGCATTTCCTCTGGGAAATCTTGGGCTGCTGGAGACTGGGTGAGGTGCCAGCACAGGTCATACAACATATATACTAAGTATTGTAATTGGATCTGTCCTTATTTATCTTTTCTATTAGGTCAAGACTAAGGACTGTGTTTTCTTTATTGCTGTACCCACAATGTCTAGCACAGTGCCTGGAGTATAGAAGGCAGTCAATAAATATTTGTTGAAGGAATAGATGATTGAATAAATGGGCTGCTAGAAAATAATCATTTTCGTGTCTTCTGTGGACCAAAACCAAATCCTTTATTAGTTCAAATCCTTTACTGAACATGTTCTATGTGGAAAACCTAATTCAAGGTTTTTAAAAACATATGTAAGGGTTAATTCTAGCTATAGAAAATTGCTTTATTGAGGGTGGAATCTTTGGAGAGTCAACCAAAAAAGGTTAAGCATTCTGTGAAAGAATACAGTAGCTAGAGAATTTTATCCCAAAGGTCAATGTTGTCAGCTTTGAATCTCAATTTCTTTTATATCTTTGATCATTGGGTTACAGAATCTATGGTTATCATCCAAACTAAAGGGAATGAAAGCTTTACTCTGAAGGAACTGGGTCCAGTGAGTATCTTGGTTACTTTTCTACATGCCCCATAAGTGACAGAAAAATACATGTCAACATAAAAATGTATAGATCAGAAATACACATTTTTGAATGCAGGAGACCTCATTGTTTTGACGACACATAAAGTTTACAAGATCTGGCAATACAGAATCACCTTGGGTTGATCTTTTTTTAAAATATATTTTTAAAATGGATTCTTAGAAATAAGGCCTGGCCATTATTCATTTCACTACTCTTCCCACTATTTTTTTTTTTTTTTTTTTTTGAGATGGAGTTTCACTCTTGTCGCCTAGGCTGGAGTGCAATGGTACAGTCTCAGCTCATTGCAACCTCCACCTCCCAGCTTCAAGTGATTCTCCTGCCTCGGCCTCCTGAGTAGCTGGGATTACAGGCACCCGCCACCATGCCCAGCTAATATTTTTCTATTTTTAGTAGAGATGGGGTTTTGCCATGTTGGCCAGGCTGGTCTCGAACTCCTGACCTCAGGTGATCCACCAGCCTCCGCCTACCAAAGTGCTAGGATTACAGGCGTGGGGTACCATGCCCGGCCTATTTTTTTTTCTTTTCTTTTCTTTTCTTTTTTGTTGAGACGGAGTCTCGCTCTGTGCCCAGGCTAGAGTACAGTGGCACAATCTCGGCTCACTGCAACCTCTGCCTCCCGGGTTCAAGCAGTTCCCCTGCCTCAGCCTCCTGAGTAGCTGGGACTATAGGTGCGTCCCACCATGCCCCGCTGATTTTTTTGTATTTTTGGTAGAGAGGGGGTTTTGCCATGTCAGCCAGGCTGACCTCGTCATCTGCCCAACTCTGCCTCCCAAAGTTCTGGGATTACAGGCATGAGTCACCGCACCAGGCCTTCCCACTATTTTTGAATGCTCATTCTGTAGTGGTCAATCTTGGCTTTGACATAGACCCTGAACACTTTCTATATGTTATTACTATCAAATGGAAATAACAGAAAAAGTTAATACCAAGAATAACAACAACAGCAAATTATTACATTTTGAGCTATCACTTAGTCTTTTATTGATAAATTTTAATTTTTTGCTTTTAGGAAATATTTCAGCCATACCAAAAGGATAGAATAGCATTTTATTTTATGTTAAATAAGCTATTACATGCACTTGAATTTTTTCCTCTTCTAGAGCACGTTTTCCCTTTCAATGTTTGCCAAAATTATCGAAAAACATAATTATTTCATCTGACAAAAGCATGATTTCCAAGATAGTTGCCAAAATTTTTATCTTTTTGTGAAACATTTTAAAATAAGATTGCAGTTAAACACAGTTCCTTAAAAATGTACTCCCTGATTATATGAACCAGGATTAGAAAATTAAAATTCCCATGCATTCCAGAATTATCAGTGAGAAGCCACAGTAAAAATTTTATTTTTAAAATTCTTCCGTCCTGCGAATACATTTATTTTTAAAAAGCAAATGAAGGGTAATCTTGACACATCAAAACTCATACGAGAACTAAAGCCTCAATGTTTTTGAAACACAGCATATGGACTTTTGGGTGAGTTCTAAGCTTGCAAACCATAGCTGCCCATCTTTCTTGATACATTTTACAAAAATGATACTACATTTTATTCCTTCACTTACATATCTAATCAGTATTTATTGACTTCCCTTTAGGTGCCAGGACCTGTGATAGGTGCTGAGAGAGGTCAGTGATTGGCTGTGGCACCTGCCCTTATGCTGTGTACTCTCTGGCATGATTCTCCTTCCACCTGAATGGTAGACTTCCCCTTGGTGATACAGTGCATTGAACTACATTATAGAATTAGTCTTCATTTTTAACATGGTGAGCATAGTAACTGCCTTACAGAGAGAGTTGTTGTGAAATGTAAGTGCAATAATACATGGAACGTATTTAGAACAAAGAATTGCATGTGATAAATAAGAGCGCAATATATGTTAGCTAAAAAATAAATTTAAAGGATCATGGAACTGTAGAGTTGTAGGAAATCTTACATTTTTTTTTTTTTTTAACAATCCAAACTTTTCACTGTATGGTTGAGGAATCTGATTCTCATTGAAGTTAAGTAGTTTAGTCAAGGTTACAATGTGCTGTTAGCGGAAGGAGCAATGGAACCAAAGATTCCTTGATTGCTACCTCACTGAAATTTTCACTATAGTATCTGCCAGAGAAGTTGTGAGTGGGGGGAGAACTAGATTAATAGCTCCCAGCACATGCCAAATACTCAAAAATGCACACTGCAACAATATTGAACAAAATCATTACCTCAAGGGAAAAATTCTAGCAGCATAAGTACTTTCAAAAGCTTAATGATACCCAGTTGGGTGCTTTATTCTGATTGAGCATAGTCTGATTTCTTAAAGATATCACACTGGCTGGTGGTTTATGTGTGGTTTAATTTGCTTGGGTTGGGTTCATGGAAAACATGCTCCATGAAAACAACTCCACCATTGTTTATTGATCAGGTGCAGTCTCCTACCTACTCACTAGACATTGGCCACGAGGCATGTTCCCTTTGGCAACAGTTTCCAAGATTACCATAGGCATCCTCTCAGTTATGGAGATTTGAAAAGCTAAGAAAAAGTCTTCCTTATTTTCAACGCAATCTTTTTAGCCCCAGAAAACATCAAAAAGCTGTGAAAAGTGTTGTGTTCTCAATGCTTTTCTGTGCACAGCGTCCAGGGAGAACCTGAGTGGCACCATGTAAGCACATAAACCTTTGCAGTCCCATGAACTGCAGAACATTTTAATGTACTATTTAGGGAACAAGGCAGCAATAGCCTGCTGAAGGTGGAAAGGGAAAATAACTTTCCTTTCTAAGAGAAAATGAAGTTCTGTTTGTGCTTGCCTCTCCTCACACCTTCAAGGCTGTAAAAGGATTTTGAGGTGACCTGTGCATTTTTTTGAGATCAGCCTCAGTTATTGCTTAAGAAGCCACACACCTCTTTCAATGCCTCAGTTATAGACTTAAAGGGAAGGGCCAAATCTCCAACTGAGACAGCTGAGGGTCTTAGGTGAGCAATTTTCCAATTTAGGAAAAGGCCAGAGAAGAAGGAACAAAGACAGCATAGTCTACTGTCAATATTAATTACAGTGAGTGAGGATTCCTTTGATTAATGATATTAATCCTTGAACTTTAACTTTCCTTCTACAACTGTAAATCTAGTTATTCTTTACTTTTTTAATGCAGTAGCAATATGGTATAGGGCAGTGAATCTCAATGGGTAGTTGTAACATGCCTCCCAGGGGATATTGAGCAGTGTCTGGAGACATTTTTGGTTGTCACAATGCAGGTGGTATGGTATTGTTGCTACTGGCGTCTAGTGGGTGGAGGCCAGGGATGTTGCTAGTCAGCCTGCAACACACAAGACAGCCCTCCACAACAAAGAATTATCTGGTCCAAAGTGTCAGTAGTGCCAAGGTTGAAAAACCCTAGTGCAGGGGCTAAGAGTTTTGTTGATAGACCCAGACCAACTGGGTTTCACTTCATAACTGGTGACATTCTGAAAATTACTTAATCTCTATTCTTCAATTCCCTATCTGTAAAATGAGATAATAACAGTACTTTCCTTATAGAATTTTTATGAGGATTAAATGAGTTTCTAGATGTAAGGTCTTTAAACAGTGCCCAGCATATGGTCAACATCATGTGAATATTTGTTACTTTTGGCAAAACAGCAGAGGGTATATTAAGAATGATCAGAACAATAGAATCTCTGCACAGTATGTTTTTGAGGGGAACTTGACTAAAAACCACCTTGAAAGGAATTAATCCATATAGATGAACTAATTTCATGCAATCCATAAGATAGTGGAATCCATGTGATGTACTGTGTGACACTGTCATTACTCTCTGATGGTTTCTTTGTGCCAGTATTGTGCCATGCTGTTGAAAGGGAAGAAGAAATGTCAGCGCACAGTCCTAATACACCATATATGCTTGGGTGGTATTTGAGATTAGTTAGTAATCATTTTGGAAGATTCATAGAAGATCAAAGGGGTGTCAATTCCTTATGTGGATATGGAGCTGTGGATATGAGACTAAAGGAAAGACAAATGGAAATACAATTGAAAATTACTCTGCTGGGTGCAGTGGCTCATGCCTGTAATCTGAGCACTTTTGGAGGCCGAGGCAGGAGGACTGCTTGAAGCCAGGAGTTTGAGACCAGCCTGGGCAATAAAGTGAGACCCCCCCTACACAGAAAGAATAGTAATAATACTTAGCTGGGCACAGTAGCATGCATCTGTAATCCCAGCTACTTGGGAGGCTGAGATGGGAGGATCTCTTGAGCCCAGGAGTTTGAGGCTGCAGTGAGCTTTGACAGCCAATTGGGCAATAGAGGGAGGCCCTGTCTCTGAAAAAGAAAAAAAAGAAATCACTCACTTGGCAGGGCTATTGGTATTTGTAAGAAGTGGAGGTAATTGACCTTTAAGATAATAAAGATAAAACTAAAAAATGGGACTCTGACCTTGAAAAACCTTGAAAACCAAAGGTGGCGATATTTGTAGACAGAGCCAACAAATTATCATATGATTGATTCTCCCATTAATTGTAGAGTTCAAGCTGCCTAAAAGGGACATTTAAGTACATATGACAAATTATAGGTATTCAGCAGGGAAAAGAGGCCTGAATTGGCTGAATTGACCTGTCTGAATACTATGCCCAGAATTATGTTTAATCTTGTGGTTTTAATTTGCATAAGAGTCTGAAAATATCTCTGCTAAGCTTGGTTAAATAGTCCTTGACCTTGAGGTTTTTATTTTATGCTCTGGATAGTTTCAGCAGCCAGGGGACCCACTCTGGCTTTTCCCTATTTTAGATTCTTTCTCTCAGAATGAAAGTTTTAATTAAGACGATGTTTAACATTAGAGGCTGTGAAACTCAGGAAGGCAATTTCACAAGGCCTCTAGAGACCAAATTTAAAGTCACAGTTTTAGGAGCCTGTGATAAGTGCCCATTCACTCTAAATATTTGTGAACATAGCAGAAGATATTTACAGTATTATTGAGATCCTCTGAGCTTCCAGGAAATGCACCTTTATGTGATATACTCACTTTTAAGCTCAAAGGGCTGCAGTTTACCTAGTTCTGGTACAGTCTCATCAGGAAAGGGAACAAGCTACCCTTCTTGAATGCCTAATATATGCATAATCAGACACTGTGCAAGATATTTTAAAATCATTTTAAATGATATTTTAATATATTTAAAATGATTCTTTCTAGTTTGTAGATAATAAAACAAAGGTTCAAAGAAGTCAAGTTGTTTGCTCAAGATCACACAGCTGGTAAGTTGTGGTGCCCAAATCTGGATCTAGGTCTGTCTCTAAAGCCCTTTCTACTTTATCTATTTGTCTCCTGAGCCATTAGCACATAAAATACAGTTCTCAAGCACTACCACCACCCAAGGAGTCGCTACAAGGGAAATTGAGGTGGGCCATGTCTAGGGCTGGGGATCTGCATTTCTGTCTTTTTCTGACATTTTAAAATAGGGGGATTCCAAATTTTGCACCATATCACCATTGCCTTGTCACTAACCATAATACATTTACCATCTGAAGGAGGCAAGAAATATCTGTGAGTCACAAAAAAGAACAATGGGCTGATGCATATCCTATAGGTTCTACCTTCAAAATATATCCAGAATCTGATGACTTCTGCCCATCGCCTATACTAACACACTGGTTAAGTCACCATCATTCTTGTCTGGGGGATTGTAGCAGCTTCCCAGCTGGTTTTCCTGTTTCTACTCTCACGTCCTTAGAGAACGTTCTCCTCGTAGCATCTAGAGTGCTCCGTTAAAAAGGTAAATCTGGTTATGTCACTCCTTGCTCACCATCCTCCAGTGGCCCAGACTGCATTTAGAATAAAATCCAAGCAACTTTGCATTACCTTCAAGTTTTAATGTTGAAGTTTAATGTTCCTCCTCCCCACTTCTCAAGCCCTTCTCTGTCCCAGCCTCTTTGTACTTGCCGTAGTTTGTACCACCTGATGTTCTTCCCAGGGCTTTTTGCTGGTGAAGGAGATCAGAATATGTCCCCCCAAAATATGCCTTTTTGACATAGGAATTAGTTTGAGCTGAAGGCAATTAAGAAGTAGCAAACACAAGAACATTTCTCTCAACCCTCCCCCTTTCTGCCTAAAGGCAGGATCTAAATTCTCCTTTCCTAGGTCTGACTCCAGACTCTTACCAACCCAGAGACAGCACCAGAGGAATCTGCCAACAACTCTTACTCCACTAGTTTACCCCATATGTTTACCTTCCCATAGTTCCCTGCCCTTGGAAACCTAAAACTGCTTTCCTTTGTTCTGTCATTTCTCTACACATTTATTATTATTCTTTGTTCCGTCATTTCTCTACACATTTATTATTATTCTTTGTTAAAAATGCTATAAAAGTCGAGTCCTGAAAGGTTATGGACTCGTCTGTCTCTGGGTACTCACATGTGTCACATGCATGATTTGCATGTTAATAAACTCCTGTGTGTTTCTATTTTTTTTTTTTAGATGGAGTTTTGATCTTTTCGCCCAGGCTGGGGTGCAGTGGCGCAGTCATTGCTCACTGCAACCTCCACCTCCCAGATTCAAGGGATTCTCCTGCCACAGCCTCCTAAATAGCTGGAATTGCAGGCACCTGCCACCACGCCCGGTTAATTTTTGTATTTTTTAGTAGAGACGGGGTTTCACCATATTGGCCAGGCTGGTCTCGAACTCCTGACCTCAGGTGACCCACCTGCCTCGGCCTCCCAAAGTGCTGAGATTATAGGCGTGAGCCACTGTGTCCGGCCGTCTCTCTTGTTAATCTGTCTATTGTAACAGGGGCCTTAGCCAAGAACCTAGAAGGATAGAAAAGGAAGATTTTTTCTTCCTCTCCTTTACACCCAGCGCTGGTAGCCTTCTCTCATCGTTCAGTTCCAGTTCAAAGGTCAGTCCTGCAGCGATAACTTTCCTCCTGGTCAGCCTAAATAAAAGTCTTACATCCCAACCCCCACCCACCTGTGAGACACACACTCCCTGTCGTGACACCTTGTTTTCTTTAAAGCATTTATCACCAACTCACACTTTCTCCTTTATATGTGTGTTTATCAGGCCGGGAGCAGTGGCTCGTGCCTGTAATCCCAGCACTTTGGGAGGCCGAGGCAGGAGGATCACAAGGTTAGGAGACTGAGATCATCCTGGCTAACACGGTGAAACCCTGTCTCTACTAAAAATACAAAAAAAATCAGCCGGGTGTGGTGGCGGGCGCCTGTAGTCCCAGCTACTTGGGTGGCTGAGGCAGGAGAATGGCGTGAACCCCGGAGGTGGAGCTTGCAGTGAGCCAAGATCGCACCACTGCACTCCAGCCTGGGCGACAGAGCAAGACTCCATCTCAAAAAACAACAACAACAAAAATACAACAACAACCTCACAAAAACTATATATGTGTTTATCATCTACTTCCACCCTCTAAGAAGTTAAAGATTTTGTCTTTATTACTGTTATAACCCCAGAGTCTAGAAAAAGTGCCTGGTTAGTATAACTTAAGAAATATTCATTAATATTGAAAAGAACACTGAGCTGGGAGTCCTGAGACCTGTATTTAACTCTGGCTCCACTACTGATTTGTTTGCAGGGGATGCTGGACAAGTTAACCTTCTAGGCTCTCAGTTTGTCTCTTCATCCACAGATTAGATTAAATGACTTCTACAACCCAGTCCTAGTCCCAAAACGCTGATTCTGACATCCTGACTCACAGTGGGGGCCTGGGAATGGAGTTCGTTGACTCTTTTTGTTGTTGTTGACCCCAAAGGAGGTGTTACACTAAATGAGAAATGCTGCAAGCCTCAGTCATCCCTATTGACAAAGAGATTTTGTTTAATGATGTTAATAATGAAATTTTTAGTTAGTGCCCTGAAGGTGAGTTATGTGTATAGGAAAAGCTACTCAGAGGTTTTCTTTGGTCATAGAAATTAATATTCAGGCCAGGCGTGATGACTCATGCCTGTCATCTCAGCACTTTGGGAGGCTGAGGCAAATGGATCACCTGAGGTCAGGAGTTTGAGACTAGCCTGGCCAACACGGTAAAACACCATCTCTACTAAAAATACAAAAATTAGCTGGTATGGTGGCACATGCCTGTAATCACAGCTACCTGGGATGCTGAGACAGGAGAATCACTTGAACCTGGGAGTGGAGGTTGCAGTGAGCCAAGATTGCACCATTGCACCCCAGCCTGGGCAACAAGAGCGAAACTCCATCTTAAAAAAAAAAAATTCAATTTAACAGAATTATAATTAAAAACATCTAGTTCTACCGGCTTTTAACTCAGTCCAAAAATTTTATTGTGTTTTACATGTCTGGTGCATTTTAACAACTACTTTGATGGGTTTTTTGAATGATACTTAGTCCCATTTAAAATCTGGTTATTTAAATGCCTTTAAACATTTTAAATTATGTTTCTTTATTTTATTTTATTTTTTGAGACAGGGTCTTGCTCTGTTGCCCAGGTTGGAATGCAGTGGCATGATCATGGTTCACTGCCACCTTGACCTCCTGGGTTTAAAGTGATCCTCTTGCCTCAGCCTTCTGAGTAGCTGGCACAACAGGCATGTGCCACCATGCCTGGCTCATTTTTTAAAATTTTTTTGTGAAGATAGGATTTTGCCATGTTGCCCAGGCTGGTCTCCAACTCCTGTGCACAAGTGATTCTCCCCTTCAACCTTCCAAAGCGCCGAGTTTACAGATGTAAGCCACCACGCCCAGCCTCTACATTTTATTGATTTGAAACCTTCTAAAAAACTTTAACTGGCTATCAGAGTTTTCTGTATACTTTAACACTTGTTATGAATCTAAGAAGTACATTTATAAATATTGAGAAACTTGGGTCTGCTTAAGAGTTCTATTACTGTATATAAATTTAGGAAGATTTTGACTCAATTCATAAATCTGAATCAATTTCTCAAGCACATATTTCAAATTGAGATAAACAAGCTGAGCTATTATTCTACTAGGATAAATTTTATTAAACATTACAAGAAGAAAAAATTTCAAATATGCACAGCTTTCTCCACACAATAATGTATTTTTGTTTTGATGTACAATTTTATACTTTATTTTATTTTATTTTATTTATTTTTTGAGATGACATCTCACTCTGTCGCTCAGGCTGGAATGCAATGCAATGGCACGATCTCGCCTCAATGCAACCTCCGCCTCCCTGGTTCAAGCGATTCTCCTGCCTTAGCCTACCAAGTAGCTAGGACTACAGGCGTGAGCCACCATGCCCAGCTAATTTTTGTGTTTTTTTTTTTTTTTTTTTAGTAGAGATTGGGTTTCACCATATTGGCCAGGCTGGTCTCAAACTCCTGACCTCATGATCCGCCCGCCTCGGCCTCCCAAAGTGCTGGGATTACAGGTGTGAGCCACCGCACCCAGCTGTACTTAATTTTAAATACTCCCAAAGTTAACATATACTTATCAGTATTAAAAAATGATCACCTCATTCCCCACAGTCTCTTTTGAGCTATAAATGTACATGGTTGTGTGTGTAATTTAGGCTAAAATCTAGGGGTAGTCAGTAGCCCTGATCAGAAATTCACATTCCCATGGTTGTCAACTCACATTTGCTCAGAAAGTTTGCATTCCACAGGAGGCTTCTGCAAGGCTTTAGCTATCTTTACGTTCGATCAACACTACGCATTTGTCTAATTAGCATAATGAATAATAGAAGTATTTTCAAGTATTATGTTAGCATAATAGATCATAGAAGTATGCTCTCATGCATGGAATTAGTGCTATTAAAGAGATATGATTTGGCTAAAACATTTGAGACAATCTCCACCTTCAGTAAAGAGCACACAATTCATGCTAGCTTTTTACTCTTATCTCTAAACGTAATCGGTGCGTATGGCAGAATTTGGTTTGAGTTTTCATATTAACACAGCGGTGAGGTGTAGGTGAGCAGCTGACTGCTATTGTTATCTACCAAAAAAGAACCTAATGGTTGTTTTTAAGCAATTTGGCTCAAGCCAATTGGAAATGCCTTTCCATGTAATTTTGCTATTAACTTAAGGTTGCATAATCAGAAGAATTCTTTTGGGCAACCTTGATAGAACCCTGTTATAATTGTTATGCCAATGAATTCATAACTGCAGGGGAGGTGGTGGTTTCATAGTCAAGATCTTTGATTTTCTACTCAGGGGAATCTACAATCCTTACATTGTTTGATTAGTTTTGTACTTCCTTGGCTCTAAACATATCTCTTCCATTGATTTTTAAAGACTGTTGAACTTGATGAAATCCTGTGTTTTATATTATCTTTATATTCTTAGAATCATATGACTCTATGGTTATTAAAATGATATTAGATTACATTTTAGTGTTCTCTCTTTCTCTCTGGTAACTGTTTAAGTCAGAACTCCTGAAAGTGATTTTTACTGATAATTGACATTAGGAGAAAACACCCATGAACCATGCAGCAAATCCTTAACAAAGCTGGCTCTGGAAATACCTGTTATATCAAGTAGTGGTAGGTTACTGGTGTTTTATTTCCCAGAGAAGTATTTCAGAAATGTAGGCTCCCTCACAGGGCACCAGACCCAATGCCAACTGGAATAGTGGAATAGCCATCCCATTTGAAAAAAGGGGGACATGTGGAGAGGAGGGATAAGGGAAGGAATGTTGAGAGAGGAACGGGGGGAAAATTGTTTTCATGTGTATTTTTCTACTCTGAAGATTCTAGACAAAATGTATTCAGCAGAGAAGGGAGGAGGAGAACAGTCAAAGGTAAGTCATTTTAAATTTTCACTATCAAGAATTCCTTTAAAAGTTTCTCCGTTGACCCATGTTTTGATAGCTTTTACTCTACTAAGTAGATGGTATTTATCACTCAATAACTTATTTCTCCACTTTTATTAATCGAAGACCTATATGGGATTGTTAGGAATACTGATTAGCATGAGCTAAGTGTAGGGGAGGTAGGGATACCCTTCACTGCACCTTTACTCTTCTATGGGCTCTTTGGCTGGGTCTGGGAGCCAAACTGACACGAGGCAAATTAGCAAGAGAAAAGCATGCATGTTTTACCTGAGTGTGGGGGCATCTCCACCAGAGTGTGAAGTCCCAAGAAATGGCCAAAGCTTTTATAATTTTTAGACAAAAATAAATTTGTGAAGAAATGACAGGACAAAGAAATCTGCCTGGGGTAGTAAATTCTAGAGGAGTCACTAGGAGGTATATACATGGAGTGTAAAGCTAGTGGCAGAGTTAATTAATTCAGTCCTGTTGCAGTGCCAAGTCTGGCTCCAATGTTAAGAACTATTCTTTTGTCCTGGTAGTGGGAAGGCACCTGTCTCAAAGAAATCTTTATGGCTTGCACCTGACAGGAAAAGACAGGTCAGCCTTTTCTTGAAACTACAATTTTCCAGTGTTTTCAGCTTGAAATAATCAATATGGCATATTTGGGTATAGTATGTCTTTTACTCCTTCATAGGAAAGAATCTCCATAATGATTTGGTAGTTTCAGCCAAAGAAGAGGAAATTGGGGTGCTAGTTAGATATATTTTTCTTAGCCTTATCACAAACTAGTTCTTTCATAATCTTCTAGTGTTTAAAAAGAAATACAGATCTGGGCCAGGCACGGTGGCTCACACCTGTAATCTCAGCACTTTGGGAGGCTAAGGCGGGCAGATCACTTGAGATCAGGAGTTCGAGACCAGCCTGGCCAACATGGCAAAATCCCGTCTCTACTAAAAATACAAAAATTAGCCAGGCGTGGTGGTGCATCCCAGCTACTCAGGAGGCTGAGGTAGGGGAATCACTTGAACCTGGGAGATGGAGGTTGCAGTGAGCCGAGATGGTACCACTGTACTCCAACCTGGGTGACAGAGTGAGAGTCTGTCTCAAAAAATAAATAAATAAATAAATAAATAATTTTAAAAAATAAAGAAATACAGATATCCAGTTTCCACACCCAATAATCTAAAATATGATCTGTTGGGGTGGGAATCTTCATTTTTTAACAAGTGTTGTCCTTATCATTCAGGTGGTTTAGACCTCACTGTTCCTTGAACAACACTTTGAGAAGCAATCCAGTAGAAATTTTGAAATATTGAAAATAGTTTCCTGACCTCCCTCTGACTTGGCTTCACAGGTCTGGTGACTTCAGGTTGGGAACCTCTGGAAGGGTGAATAATTGCCAACTCAATTCAGCTGTTCAGCCTTGGGCACTGCTTCAGTTGAAGCTCAAGAAGCTATGACTAAGTTGACCTTTTGTCATATCTCTTTTCCTCCCTGTTTATTTAAGTTACCATCTTAACTGGCTGCTGAAGTCAAAAGTGCTTTTGTTCTCTGCATGAATGGTTTGATTCACATCACACCAATATAGCTTCAAAGGGAGAAAAGTCTTTTACCTTTGGATAATCTTTCCCTCCCCCTACAAATGCCACAACTTGGCCAAAGGATTTTAAAGATTTTATGTTTTAACTATTTCAGACTCTTCAGGTTGCTTCTCTCTCCTTTTTCTTCTTGGAAGAAATAGGCCAAAAGAAATAACAACCACTTACAGGATTTTTAACAAAGGCGAATTCCTGCACTTAAGACAGCGATTCGCAAATTAGGAATTTAAAAAGAACAGATTACAGGAGCCACCTCCAGAGAGCCTGATTTGGGAGGTGTGGGATGGGGCTTGGGAAACTGTATTTTGATTCAGTGATTAGCTAGGTCTGTGAATCAACATTTTAGTGAATGAGTACCAGCAGATCACTTTCCCAAGTCTGGATGACCAAGAAGTGACAAATTCTAACTGAGAGTACTCCATTCTCTCCACTATCTCATGCTATGGTGATGATGGAAAGAAAAGGAAAGGAAGAAATCAAAGGCAGTCCAAGCTATCTGCTGTTTGTAGAACCTCATGTTCTGTCATTCACTTTTCCCCTTACCTCCTTGCTCATTTCATGTTTCAGCTGCCCTGGATTTCTTACACTACATGCATGATCACACATGATTGTCTTTTGTCTTCCTGCTTTTATACAAGCTGTTCTTTCAGCCTGGGATTCCTTTATGCCCAACTCCCTTTTCTCCCTGGTAAACTTCAAGACTCCATTCAAATATAACCTACTTTGTGAAGCTTCCCTAACACCCCAGGCTGAGTATATCCTTCCCTTCTCTGTACTCAATTAGATTTTTGTGCATGTAAGTATTGTGGTGCTGAGAAACTCATGTTCTACCGCCTGTAATTTATTTGAAATACTTCTTCATAGATGATATGATATGTATGTGTGTCAGTTAGTGACAAACTCTACATCCTACTGGCAGGTTGATAAAGTATCCTAAATAGGTACAATCTCAAAAAGTGATGAAGTGGCATTTCCAAGCTCCTATAGTCTACATTCTAGGAGAGTTATTATAACCTAATCACTTGGAAATACTATCTAAATTGAGATCAAGGGATAATAGAAGTATTTTTTCATAGGTGAAATGGATGGCATTCAGGATAATTATACTGCCCGGAAAGATAGTACAAACACCTCTGTCTTCTATGAATGGGTTATGAGAACCTGGCAAACCCAGCAATCTTGTGTTCACCCCACTTAACAGGAGCAATCTAGATTAGATGGTTAGCTGAAACCTGCTGCTGGAACATAGGCCCCTCTGCCACCAGAACACCCTTCATGCAAGGTGCTGTCCTGAGTGACTAAAAACAGAAGCTAGGACTTCACTGAGCCTGCAGGGACAGATTGTATGACAGTGCATGTATTTGATTGTTTCACATCCATGCTAATAAATGCATGCTTGGCAGAATTTGGTCTGAGACTTGCTTTTATTGTAATATACAAACAGTAGTGAGGTTGTGTGAGAGGGCACCAATAGCTCTCCTTTACCTCTGGGTTAAAGGTTTAGTAGAGGCTGCCAAGAGAACCCGACACCTATGAATGGCCAAATTGTCTTGGGACAGCAATCTTATTTATCTTTGTATACCTGGTGATGACAGTGCCTGATATAGTAAGTATTCAATAGATGCATTTTTTTGTCCTTAATTCATATAAATATAAAACAAAAAAGAAATTGGACCAATTTAATGATCTTCAACTGTTTTATAGAATTACATAATCTGTGTGAAGGTTTTGATTTAAGCTGTGAAGGTTTTTATTTAAGCAGAGTGGCAACGATCAGGTTGTGAATAACAGACAATTTCATTTATAGACTCTGCTTATTTGGGGAAGCTTTGAATAAAAATTACTAATACCAGCTTTCGATGAAGCCACTGCTTCAGGTGAAGTGCCTTTTGAATAGAAATAAAAATATATTAAAACAACAGTGATACATATGTTTTATGAAGTTTTTATGCTCCTCACCTCCCTCCCCAAAACACCACTATGCAATTGCCCCAAAAAAGGGCAGCTTTAAGAATAGCTGGTGGGAATGTATGACATACTCATTTGCAAACAGTGGTATTCATTGTTCAACACTGTCAAGAAAATTCATCTAAAGAAATTATAAGCCTAAAGAGTTCCTATATTGGCTATTTATCATTAGAGGCACTTCACACAATGAATAGGCTTTACAGGTTGTTAAGCATCTCCAGGAACATTGCTCACTGAAATTTGTCGGAAAGATGATTGAATGTTATTTAAGTAGAACTTTACACACAATAAATAGTACATTTGCAGACTGCTGAGAAAATTGATGAAAAGTATAATGTTCCATTTTGGACTCTAAACAAAAGGCAATCAATTAGCAGAAGCAGTTTGAATAATGTGAAAGAAACTGCCTAGAAACTCTCCTGCTGAAAGATCAGACTTCAGCCTGAAATAACTGCTTTTGCATTAAAAAGATCTGTGGCTTGGCATAAACACGACACAAAAGGGAAGTAAGAACAAAATCCATTTCTGGACCCGCATTCCTCCCCAGAGCTGGATTTCTCCTAAGCCCACCTTCTTTTCATTGTCTCACCTTTATTACGGGCTGCATTTCAACTTCCTATTGAGTCCACAGCCAAACTCTGGGCCAACCTTTCATGTATCCTCCCTAGCAGAGATTTTAAGTGATCTAAGGAGGGATTATTAACAAGACGTCTAGAGAGTGTTATTGATTTCCAGAACTAGGCTTACAAAAATAGGCAGCTGACCCCTGCTCTATATCAAGGGACCAAAGTTACTATTGAACAAGTCTCACACAAAACAGTTTTAGATCATGGACACATATTTACAAAAAATAACTATTATCTCACAGGTAATTTTATATTGCTTGTATATTTTCTTTGCATCATAAATTTAATGGATTTGTATATGGGGGAAATCAGAAGTCTTAGAAAAGAAGTTATATTCTAAAACAAAACCAAATACCACATTGAACTTGAGGGAAGTCAGCTAGGAAAGTGAAATCTGCTGATTATGTTGCTAGTATTTCTTGTAACTGACTTCAATTAATGAGCTAACTTACTGGATTGTCTGACACTCT
Organism: Homo sapiens; assembly: GCF_000001405.40. Classification (NCBI taxonomy): domain Eukaryota; kingdom Metazoa; phylum Chordata; class Mammalia; order Primates; family Hominidae; genus Homo; species Homo sapiens. The sequence goes on along the minus strand of NC_000012.12, from coordinate 75,763,750 downwards.
GTATTTCCTCTGTAAAACAGACTACCTGAGGCCAGGCGCAGTGGCTCAGGCCTGTAATCCCAGCACTTTGGGAGGCTGAGGTTAGTGGATCACCTGAGGTCAGGAGTTTGAGACCAGCCTGGCCAACATAATGAAACCCCATCTCTACTAAAAATACAAAATTTAACTGGGCACGGTGGCGTGCACCTGTAATCCCAGCTACATACATTTATCTAAAAGGGAAAATGGAACTCATTGCAAGGAAGAAACTATTCTGTCCCTCTAAGATTCTGGCTGAATATTTATGCTGAATGATCAGTAATTTTGTAATATATTTCAGCCATTAAACACTATACAGTTGGCCATAACTGGTTGCATTTTTTTATTCTCCATTATGAATCCATTTATTATTATATATTTAATTAATATTGATTTTGAGATTGAGGGAATTGGGTGATAATAAAAACATATTGTATTTATTACACTGGATTTTCATTAAATAGTAACTTTTGTAGCAAAGCTCTTGTTTTTTATTAATATGACAAAAGGAAATATTATTATATTGTTACAATTAATCCAAGAGATAAAATATTGAAGGTGTGCCATGAGATTTTCCTCTTGCAGAACTAACAGAGGAAGAGTTATAAATAAATAGAAGTACTCATGTCTTCTGAAAATAAGATATTAAAGAAAGAACCAACATCTCCAGTTGGTTTTTGGAAAAACAATTCTCTCTTATATTTGAAATTATGCAGTTACCTTGTGTTTTTTCATCAAACATCAATTACTGTGTCAATTATGCCTACTTATTGTACTTGATCACAGTAGCTTATACTAATGTCCTATTTATAAATTTGAATTTTAGAAAGGACATATATGGGATTCAGTTTAGAAATAGAATATATTCAGGACTGATACTTCCATAACCTTTTTGTTTATCTTCCTGTGGTTCAATAAGAATGAAATTTGGAATGTTTATTACATTTTTATCTTCCTGATAATACTATTGATCTGTCAGCTAACGTGCTGTCCTTCACATGTGAAAATTACCCTTCTGGTTTGTTGTGAATCAAGTGTGAGAGCTAAGATGTCTTTTCTCTCCTGGTGCGCTACCTACCCATGTTCTCTTGCTGGATTCCCTTTTTGACCACTGGAATGAGAGGGCTGCCCAGTGAGTGGAACAGCTATGGCCATGAAGCAGCACAAGCTAACTGCTTCTTATGGGGATGGAACCCAGGCTGGCTTGGCCTTTTGAGCACTATGCCTTGAACCTTCTAGCTATTGCCTTAGTGAGATCCACTAGTACAGCTTCCTGCTTTGAATGATAGGAATTTTTCCACATGAAGATACCTGGTATTAGTAACAGGCTTCTTTGTATCTGAACACTCTCCCTTTTACTTGAAACTTGGAGGTATATTGACTTAATACTCACTTTAATTTAAAGTTATTTTTCTTTAGATAGGAAAACAATTCTGAAAATGCAAGACTAGATTTATTGTTCTGTCTCTTTTGAGACCTTTATGGATGATGTCTTTCCATGGAGGAAACTAGTGTCCTTCACACATAGAATAGGTGGGAGGGATGGAGGCATCCTTTCTGCTATAGTCAAAGCTTTCAATATGGAAATATGACTTAGTGAATCAAGCTGCCATGATGTGCAGGGTGTGCCTAAGGCAAAAGCTAGTCAAGAGCAGGCTGGTTTGCAACATTAGTGCAGATAGAGACATCCACCATATAAACCACTCTGCCTGGCCCATGCCATCATTGAGGGGCTGGTGGGACTGGGACAGGGATCCTAGCCCAAGGATGGTTGAAACACAATTTATGTTTGGAGTTGCAGCTTTTTTTTTAAGCCTTTCCTACTGAAATCCTATAATGAAATAATTTAAGTTTATTGCACCTTTATTCCCCCTGAAGGGAAACAGTATTTTATTTTATTTATTTATTTATTTTTTTGCTAACCAGGGGTCTACAGGGCTGCGGGTCTACACGTGGAAGGAATGTTACATCATTCACTTAAATTATTTATTTATTCAACACCTATTATGTGCCAGAGATTGTGCTTAATGCTCAGAATGTAAGATAAAAGGCAGAGATGGTACCTGCTCCCATGGAACTCACTACTTCACTCTGGATTAACTATGGAGGTCTATGAATAGATAAAAAACAAACATACGAACAAAATTTTAAAAATCTGTATTTATAGCTTGTGAAGGAAATAAAAACCAGTAGAGGGATCAGAGGTCTGTGTTGACACTGGTACAAACTTTTCCTGATATTGAGCACCCCAAGATCAGGATTTAGGGTACCCAGTGCTAGGGTACCCCGTAAGACACTGGAAAGAAGGGGTCACTTTCCTTGTCTCATTGCCAAGGCTCAGAGAGATGTCCAGTAGGCAAGGTGAACTTTCAAGGTGTTCTTTCTTTGTCATTTGCTTATAAGGAGAAAATTTGAATTTCCTAAGCTGTTTACTATCTCCTGCAGCTTTTTCCAATAATTGTTTCATATGACCCAAAGGTAATGTTTCCGTCAGTGTTCTTAGCACAGACATAAAGGTACTCAACTGTCACGTTAATGACTTTATGTACTGCTACGTTAAATGGAAAATGTACCACTTGGATGAAACCAAAGACACCTGAAAATGGGGTTTAGAAAATTACACTGTTACTATGGCAATATCATCTCCTTGGCGGTTGAAGAAAATCATTTAATATAGGTATAAAACCCTAGTAAATATTGGACAGCTTTATGGAAATGTAATAAACTGTAGTCATATATCAAAAAGCACTAAAACTCATTTTGCATTTGTGGCACACAGCAAAATTATAATACAGATGAGGACTAAATGACCTATAAATGTTAAACACATAGTTAAGCATAGAATATGTCACCCAGAGTCTTCGCGGTTTTTCTGTGCAAAATGTTCAAGTCAGATCCAATTGTGTGGAGAAACACCTGCCTTTTTCTAAGCCTATGTATATTTTGGCCCCTTTCTGGGGCAGAAAGGCAGAACAGAAACCATATCCATTTGCTTGCAGTTAATCAGGTAAGATATCATGTGAAATGAGCAAGCCTCTGTCCTCGGATATGAATTTAACAAGGTAAATGCTGATAACATTGTTACCCTAGTCCTGTTACTGCTCAGTCTGATCCAAAATATAATTGCATTTTATGTTGTATGACACATAGTCTAGTTTGTGAGGAAACCATTGATTTTACTTGAAAGACATAGCTGTTGTTTTGTATTTTTTCAGACGGCGCTGTAAGAAGCTGAGCTTAAAGGTGCTTTGAATAACAGTCCTGGGATATAAAAGCTTTTACATTTGTAGGGAGCATTTTATCCTGCAAAGAAACAGATTTCTCCCCAGCAGATGGTCCAGATTTCCTGCAGAAAAAAAAAAAAAAAAAAAAATGAAAGGGACAGGGTCTTTCTAGGACACAAAGAGGAGGCATTTCCAGCTAAGACATTGAAGGTGAATGTGCATATTTTTACCATGTAATTCAGGCAGCTACTCTGTGATAATCAAGGTGGGGTATACTGCTTACTCACAAGATGGCCAAAGTGAAACAGTCAGTCAATTATCATATTCTCAAAATGCAAAACAACAGAATTGACTGATGGTTTTCATTGAGTCAGCTAGTGAGCTAAAGCAAAGTCATCAAGCTAGGGCAAACCAAAGGCACTATTTTTACTTTTTATGATTCATACTCCTAGTATCCCACATGTGACTTTGAAGGTTTCCATGGTCTTTTTCTTTGATTCCTATGCTTGAGAAGTTCTCAAAGACTCTGGCTCCAAATTCTTAAGGCAGCTTTTGCACTCTCTTTCAGCACTGGTTGCTCCGCTTTCCAGCTCTACAGGGACATGACTCAATGCATATTCCTAACCTCTTTTTAGGACTCTGTTGAATCCTATACTTGCTTAAAGGAATCTATTGCATGGAAGAATTAAGAGCAGTGTTTCTTGAAGAACATTCTTAGGTAAAATTGTTGGCTTGGCAGGGGACAAAAAAGACAAAGAACTGCAATATAATTAATGTAAAATGATTGGTTGTTGTACTTTCTATTAGAATATTACATTTGAAGTGAGAAGTGGTGAAGGGATGATGCCGTACAAGTAGATAATGATAATGAGAACACTGATGGAATACTTTTTAAATGCTAGGCATGAAGAGTTTTACATGGATCATCTCATTTGATCAGTAAAAGTTTTAAGGCGGGTATTAGTTTATATTTTTCAGAAGAGGAACTAAGTTAAAAAAAATAACTTGCTTAAGGTCATGTAACAATTAAGCGGTAGTACCAGGACTCAAACTCATGTCTACTTGAATCTAAGTCCAAGCTTTAAACCACTACACTACGCTAAGGTAAAACTAATCTAGCTGTAGCTCTGTGCAATATACCAATCCCTCTAATGGAAACAAAGGGAACTATAATTAACCCCCATCATAGAATTAAAACTTAGAGCATCTTTGCGCCACTAAATCCCTGAAAGGCCATGCACATTAGGGCTGTCCTTGGGGAACAAGAGAGCTGATGCAGAGCTACATGAAAGATGTCAGAAAATTGATGGTCAGCCCAGCTCAATACTAAGTTAGAAAAGTGAAAGTGAACAGTGAGCTGGGAAATAAGACCATTGATCAGAGGTTGGAAAGAAGGTATAAATCAAGACATGGCTAATGTGAATATAGAAAGTTTGATTCTGACTGGATGTTGCAAAATCAGAAATCTGGCTGATGTCCAATCCCATTGGGACAGGATCAGCAATACCTTAAAGAACCTTGATAGAAAGAAAGTGAGAGAGAGAAAGAGAAATTAATTTGCATATGATGTATTCTTATCATTTAAAAATTCGAACATTCAGGGACATTTTTTCAAAAGAAAATTTATCATAGTTTCAACTTTGTAAAGAAAATCACAGTTGTAACATTTTGATATATTTCCTTCTAGACTTTTTCTCCTCTAGGTAAAAGATTTGCATACTTCTACACAAATGTACCAAACTATATATGCAGTTTAGTGTCCAACTTATTTCTTTTAATATAATGTCTTCTACATTATTATAATTTTATAAGAATTATTTTATCTATGTAATAGTCTGTCATTTAAGTATACAGTTATTTGCTTTTTCCTTTGATTACATATTAGAGAATTAGCATTTAACAATTTTAGCTGGTATCAATATCAATTGTCTGATATTTATTGCTTTTCCTTTCCAATTTAGGACTATTTCTTCACAGATACCCTAGGTAGAATTTGTAGGTTGAAGGTTAAAGACAGGTTTTTTTGTTGTTGTTGTTGTTTTGTTTTTGAGAAGTAGTCTCGCTCTGATGCCCAGGCTGGAGGGCAGTGGTGCAATCTTGGCTCACTGCAACCTCCATCTCCTGGGTTCACGCCATTCTCCTGCCTCAGCCTCTCAAGTAGCTGGGACTACAGGTGCCCGCCACCACTCCCGGTTAATTTTTTGTTTTTGTATTTTTAGTAGAGACAGGGTTTCACTGTGTTAGCCAGGATGGTCTCGATCTCCTGACCTCGTGATCCGCCCGCCTCGGCCTCCCAAAGTGCTGGGATTATAGGCATGAGTCACCGCGCCCGGCCTAAAGACAGGTTTTGACCTTTGACACATATTACCTAATTGTTCTCACTTCTTTCAGTAGTGTTTAAGGGTACTTTTTCACTATATTATCAGCATTAAGTTTTTATAGAAAGAAAAAATATTATCACAAATATTAGGCAGAAAATGACAGTGTATTGATTGAAAAATTACATATCTTTGACTTCTAGTAAGCTGGATATTTTTCCCTAAGATGGCTAGTTATTTGCATTTCCACTTTTTGTGAATTTTCTGTGCACATCCATTTCCCATTTATCTTTTGAGATCTTTTCCCCCGTCTTATTGGGAAGTACATGTGGTACATACGGAAGAGTGTATAAAACATATGTACAGCTTGAAATATAATTCTACAGAGGACTGTGCGACCAGCCCTCAAGTTAGGAACCAGAATGTAAAACGTTGTTTCCGCATCTCCCTTCCTGCCTGCTAGACCATCGCCTTCTCCAGTGTTTCCTCTTCCCGCCTCCCTCCCTCACCCAAAACATGATCCTGACTTTGGATCATCAATCCCTTGCTTTTCTTAATATTTTTATTACCTATGTAGGGATTCATAAACAATTTAGTTTAGTTGTGCCTGTTTTCGAACTTCATAAAAATGAAATCATACTCTGAACTCCTGTGAGTGGATCATTTTGCGTAACATTTTGTTCATAGGATTCATTCATGTTAATGTGTGGAGCTGTGGTGGGTCGCAATAATTATTCTATCTATTTATTTCAGCAATTTCAAATATGATAGAAAATGTTCTCTATCATGTTTAAGGCAACTGTTTTCCCAGTTTTAAAAAGTTTCTTATAATTTTGGTTATAGTTTAACACACAGACATTTTAGACGTTTACATAGTAAAATCTATTGAACTTTTCCTTTGTGAATTCTTTTATTCCTTTGAAACTTAGAAGGACCTTCCCCTTCAGGATGTTGATAAATATTTGCCCTTATTTTAGCTCTTTCATGCTTTGATTTCTTTTTTTGAAAAAAAAAAAAAAAAAACTTTAGCATTCTAATCCATCTGTATTTATTCTGGCTTATGGTTTGATTTGACATTCAGATCAATTTTCCCTCCAAATAGGTAACTGCTTATTGAGTAATTCTTTTCCATGCCCATTGGGGCTGCTTTCTTTGCGTAGCAGAGATGAGACAGAGCTGTATTTATAGATGTAAGGCAAGAAAGCAAGTAAGTCCAGGCACAGTGTCGGACAGAGCGGGAGTGATTTAGTGTAAAGTTACTTACTAGCCATGACTTGTCTTCCCACAGACTCTATTTATATGAGAAATGCACTTCTACCATTGCTATTTTGTCATTTTTGTCACTTGCAGCTGCACCTAATTTTAACAAATTCTGATTCACCCTATTTGCTCTTAATCATTAGACAAGAAATGCAGCTTTTCCTTCTCTTTGTGTGTGTGTGTATATATATATATATATATATATCTAAGCCTCTAAAATAATAGATAAGAAATATTAGACTTTGTCTCAGTCTTCAGTGTTAAACTCTGCAAAGCCCTTTTTTGGCCATTGCATTCAGATTGCTTTTTCCTGATTTGCAGAGTTTTCTTTTGGCTTCCTGAAATGTGTCAATGTTCCTCCAGCCTGGGATTAATTCTGTGTAGAATGGAGGATTGTTTTGTATTTCTCTTAATATAGATTAATTTTATTTCTTAATTTTAGGGTGGTGTTGGTATCTTTTGGTTGTTTCTTAAATGAGCATAACAGTTGTTAAAAAAAATAAGGTTATACTTTTCATTGGCTTATTTGTTCTTTTCTGACTTGTGTGCATTCAAAATCAATAAATGATATTCTGGCCTAGAGAATCACTCATCACTTGGTTCCTTGTTGTGTACACAAGAGCCAAAGAGCATAATAATAATACTGGGAGGAGGGCCAGAGAGAAGATGATGAAAACTGCACAAGAGACAGTGGACATCTCTGCTTATTAGATCAGGTGTCTAATTCAATAAAATGATTTTTTAAATGTGTGTGTAAATTAATGTCTCATGGTCCTGAGCAGAAGATAATTATGTCTTCATTTCAGTCAGAATTTCAATTCAGAAATGGGTTTCGGAAGTAAATATTAAATACTAAATGAACACTAGCTCAGAGTTTGCCTACTCGTTGCTTCTCAGAGAAAGTGAGATGAATTACAGGTTCTATTAAGATGGCTTGCTTAGTTGAGTAATTGGGACTTTTGTGCTTTGCTTGCCTATTTCCTACTCTTTTTCTGGATTGAGTTGTTTATTTGGTTTACATTCCTCTAAACAGAATTCTTTTTTAAGCATCAGAGTAAATACTGGTTCACATCAATAGACACATAAAAAGTTATTGAAGAGTCCGAGTGGTGTGGAGCATGGAGTTTGGAATCAGGAACACCTGGTTCAAAGCCCACTTCTACAATTTACAAGGCACTTGCCCTCAGCCAATCTATTTGATATCTCTGAGTCTTAATTTCCTTATCTGTAAATAGAAGAAGTGGTATCTTATTTCCAGTTTTGTTCTGATAATTTTTCTTTATTGCAGGATTTCCAAGTTACTAGAATATGGGTAACCCATAAAACAACTGGCCATATAGTGCCTACTGATTATATGGTGACTGGGGCATAGTAAGCACTTACCAATTACTTGTTAAATAAAGGAGTGGCAAATACGTGTCTACGCCTCTATACTTCATATTTACTTTCCCTTAGAACTCGCACAGAACAGACATGTGTGTTGCCATGAATGGCCATGATGGTAAGGATGGAGTTGGGAGGATGGATAAAGATTTCAGGTGTGAGACAGGATGTAGTGTGTGTGTGTGTGTGTGTGTGTGTGTGTGTGTGTGTAAAAATCCAGAGCCCATCAAAAGACATCTGGTTTGCTTTGGTATTTCACTCACATAAGGAAATGTAAACAGAGGGCTCTGTTTGGATTGTGACTTTTAAAAGCTATCAGCCTATTTCAGGTATCAGGTAGTTTATAGTTTTGACATTGCCTCTACCGCACTGAGAGATATAAACCCTCTCAGGTGCAGCATTTTCACGTTTAGACTTTTTTCAGGATTCTGAGCCAGGGGAAATAAACTGAAGAAATTAAGTGGGGCCAACAGATTGTGCATAAAGATGGCCTCCTTCCTGGAAGTAAGAGTCAGGGAACTCCCTCTCTCCCAAACAAATGGGTTGATGTTCCCCACATTCACCATCAGGAGAATTTGAGTGAATTACTTCAGAAAGCTACTTCACAAGAACTTTGTGTGATGGTGACTTCCTTGATTACACATCTGTGAAATTCAGTGTGTCTGCAAACCACAAGGTTTAAACCACAGTGTTTAAAGCACACACATTTCATTGAGGTACAAATTGATTGGAATCCATAGCTTCCCTTTAGCTCCATACCAACCAATTTTTATTAGGATGCTTTGATTATATGTCTGACCTTTTTTTCTCCCCTCTGTCTTCCATCCTTTCCTCTCCTTAACTAGATAAAACAAGATAATATGTAAGAGAGAAACTTTTCTTTAAAGGCAAAGTACTATATCCACATCAGAATAATAACTTATTGATTTATTTAGCCACCCAAATTAACCTGCAACTTGGTCCCAAAAGCAAAACACACTCAGAAAAAAAAGGTTTTTAGACTTAAAACTTTTTTTCTTCCTTGTGAACTTTATCTTTGCAACTAAACATACTGAGAACATGTGCTTCATCTTTTCTGATACTTTGTTCCTTTGTGTTCTTACTGCACCAAATTGGACTGTGGCATCCCTGATTTTATAGCATTTCTATTGTCACTGCATCTGTAGCTTGGCTTACACCTCAAAGGGCTGAAGTGTGAGATGAACATCCTGCCTGAGCTATGGATGATGGTATGTCTAAGAAAGAAAATAACATGTTCTCTACATCTCATGACTGTCCTTGAATCATTTGATCACAGTTCATTTGTCTTTTTATTCACTGAGAAAACATTTCATAAATCTGTGTGAGATTTATTACGAGATTCATTAGTTTACCATTTCATCTATTTCATCTTCAACATTTTCACATTTTAAATCTAAGAAATATTAAAATTAAGAAAATAATCTCCTTTTCTTTAGACATGAAAGCTTCATGGCTATTTTTTTTTTTTTTTTGACACAGAGTCTCACTCTGTTGCCCGGGCTGGAGTGCAGTGGCGTGATCTCAGCTCACCGCACTCCACCTCCTGGGTTCAAGTGATTCTCCCGCCTCAGCCTTCTGAGTAGCTGGGATTACAAGTGCTCACCACCACACCTGGATAATTTTTGTATCTTTAGTAGAGACGGGGTTTCACCACGTTGGTCAGGCTGGCCTTGACCTCCTGACCTCATGATCTGCCCTCCTCGGCCTCCCAAAATGCTGGTATTGCAGGCATGAGCCACCGGGCCTGGCCCTCATTCATCCTTCCAAGACCCACATTAAATACCATTTCTTCCATGAAATATTTTCTAGCCCCATCACCCCAATCAGATATGAACCTTCTGAAACCCTAGTATATTAATTTACATCAATATTACAGAACATATATCACTACTAGCATTATTATATTGGTATACTTACTTTTGCTGATAGGTTGTGCAGCTGCAATGTTCCTGGCATTATGCTAGGCACTTAATTTACATTATTTCATTCAAATTTTAGGATTTCACATCAACTCTATGAACTACATAGAATCTCCATTTTATAATTTAAGACACCAAGTTTGAATAAGTTGCTCAAGGACAAGTCTTAGATTCAAATCCAGATCTATTTTCCACCAAAGCACATGCTTTCTCTATTAGACTATACTGCCTTTTGTGGTGAAAGGCTGTCTTACTTAGTTGTATGCCTCTTGTAACTCCTCAAACAATGAAAGTGATTTGTATGTAGTGGGCCTGGGAGGGTGTAGGCTGGGAGCTGCCAGCATATATCATGTATTATGTAAACCCTAAGATGGAGGTCAAAATGGAGGAGCACTGAACCAAGAAGAGAGACTAGGTCTGGGTGACATTACTTTAGCATCTGCATCAACCCAGTCCTATCTTTGAACTGTTCAAGTACATGAACCAGTATAGTCCAGTATGTATTGGATTTACTGTTTCATAATTTTTCTAAAACGATAGATCAGGGATATGTTGTAGGCTTTGATGTCACCAAGGTATTTGACAATTTGTTAAAATATGTTCATGGACAAGAAGGTGAATTGTAGGTTGTCTAATATATACTCAAATTATGTTTACCATTTCATCTATTTCATCTTCAACATTTTTACATTCTAAAATGTAAAATGATAGCACTCTGGAAAGGTTCTCTTTTTGGTATTTCACAAATCTTATCAATGCCTTAGAAGAAAATCTAGGTGAGCAAATATAAACTCTTATAGATCTTGAAAATAACGCTTGTACGTTGGATACCCAAATTCTAAATAGTCAGGAAGCACCTCATCCAATATGGTTATGGATAATGCACAGGAAAAAACCTAGGATGTTTAGGTTAGTGTTGGAAATCAGAGAGGAGGTGACAGAGTCTACCTGAGATTTTGCAGGGCAAGGTTAAAGGCAAGAAGCCAAGGCCAAAAAATACCCAGAGGCAGCATTAGCAATAAAACCATTCAGATATAGGTTCATATCATACTCTCGTCAATGAATAACTGTGGAACTTCAAGAAATTACTTAATCAATTACCCCTTGTTTCTGCACCTGTAGATACCTATCAACTGGGCTGTTGAGAAATAAGGAGGGCTGTTGAGGAATAACGCTTCCTATGTGGAAGTGTTAGATACACAGTAGATGCTCAATACATATGATTTGTTTGAAAGCATATTATGTACTAGGAGCTGGCTAATAATATGCTGGGAGCAAGGAGGGAAGGCCAAGGACCTGGGAGGCGGGGAAGCAGGAACAGTCATGAAGATGCATGAGTAATTCTGCAGAACATGATCTTTCTCATCTGGGAACAAATTTTTCCCCCATAACCTCTTAAGCGATCCACTTAGCACCTTGTAAGAAGGAAAGAACAAAGGTGATATAATCAATTTAACAAGGGTTAAATGTTAAGTTCCATAATAATAATAATAATAAAACCACCATTTAGATAATTATAGAACACAGTAAATTTGGTGGTGTAGATCAATAATAACTTGATTAGAGTTCATGGAATGATACTGTTTCTAAAATGTTTGGCATCCTTAGAATGTTTTGATAGAAGCAGAGGGTACATAGTCTAAGAATTATTAACTATCTTACTATTTGACCAGAGCAATTTAGCTGGAAACAATTTGATCAACATAACCTTGGTTGACATATTGATGCAGTTGAAATAGATATTTCCCAGTCATAGATTTTTGGAACATTGGTAATTTTTGTATCTAATTTTTAGCCATTGAATCTTACTCTGACTTAATTTTTCGAGTGAAAAGTTGGGACAACACCAGTGTTAATATTGGAATTCTTCATGGTTTTGAAGAGTACTTATCTTTTACTTATTATAAAAACAGAAACCCATTATAGAAAAGCTAGAAAATACAAGCAAAAGAACAACAACAAGAAATGCATCTTTTTGCCCACCCTTAGGTAACCACTGTTATTATCTTGGCTTATATCATTCCAGGTTCTTTTCCTTGCCTTTCATTGATCTGACAAAGGAAGGGACTGTGCTGCAAAGTAGTGAGCTCTCCGTTTTCAGAAGTTTTCAAGCAGAAGTAGGAAAATCTATCAGAGATGTGTCAGAGATATGGTATAAAAGAAAGGTTAAATTTTATAATGTCTAGTTTTTTTCAACTTTAGGATTCTAAGAAAAAAAACGATAAATGCCATTGTAATGCTCACAAGGATTGTTCATTTATATTGTATTTGTGGGATTCAGCTGAAAAATAACTTCTAAAATTCCAGCTCTGATTGGTAATTCATTCTGTCGTTTCTGAGGTATTGGCTTGAACGCCTATATTTGATTTCTGTGCTTGAGTAAACCCACCCACTGGCCAGACTGAACCCCAGTGTGTTTGACATTTTCCCTTTTGAACAGCATCCAGCATAATGTAGCTTACTGGAAAAAATCTACACAGTGTGACTCAGAAAGTCATGCAAGCATTTCTTTCTGTGGAATTCTTTATTTTTTTTTCCCAAAATGAAAATAGATCACATTATTTGAGGATAAACAAATCTGAAAGTGTTTCCAGTAATATCTTTTTATGTATAAGCTGCTGAAGATTAACTAGCAGTTCTTGGCTAAGATCTTGCTTCCTACCTAAATATCTCAGTAAATGCTGTCCTATTGAAATAAAATTCAACTTTTCAAAGTTTCCAACTGGAAATAGAAAATGAAGTCCTACTTCCCAGAAGGAGGAGTCATGCTTTCTTTTTGTTTAAAATGTCCGTAAATTATCCAACACAGGCCCAGCCACGCAGTGTACATTTAATGCCCTCTAAATGAAACTATGTAAGATAAAATTACAGCTTATGAAAAACCATGTAAGCTACATGGTTTAACAAGATCTGGATTCTTCTTCCTTTATCTTCCTTTGTTTTCTGATAAATTTCGGGAAATACTCCCAAATAAGCACATGTATTGTCAATACTCATAATTTAAAATTTATTATTTGTTTTAATTTTTATTTTAGGTTTGGGGGTACATGTGAAGGTTTGTTGTTACATAGATAAACATGTGTCATGGGAGTTTGTTGTACATATTATTACATCACCCAGGTAGTAAACCCAGTACCCTAATATTGTTTTTAAGGAGTTGTATTTTAGATATGTTTTTATAATTATTAATGGAGTGTTATTAGCTGAACATGCACATTTGAGATGTTCTTTAGGTAGAAGGATCTGTATGCAACTCGGCAAGTACTTTTAGAAGGTATTGACTATTGTAATGTTGGCAGTATAAAAGGAAGGAAGACAGGACCATAAGACTTGAGAGAATGGTAGTGGAAAAAGAAATAAGCTACAGAATGTTTGATCTGATCAATAAATAATAAAATAGTAGCTACATGTATTGAGTATCTACATTGTATATATTAGATACTAGGTTAGGTGGTTTGTATATACACTGCCTTTTATCGCCACCCTACAATACAGCATTATCATCTCCAATTTACGGGTGAATGTTCTGAAGCTGAGAAGAGCTGGGATTCATAGTTTGTCCCACGATAAAACTTACTTTCTTCAACCTATACCATGTTGTCTCAGACGTATCATAAATAAAACCAGGACAGACAAAGAATAAAAATGAAATCTTAAAATTCTCACAATGTAACAGTAAACAAAGTAAACAATCCAATTAGGAAATAGATAATAGACATGAAACATTTCACTGAAAAGATATACAGAAGGCAAATAAGCACATGAAAAGATGTTCTACATCGTCAGCCGTTAGGAACATGCAAATTAAAACCATAGTGAATTTAAAATTTAAATTAAATTAAAACCATACAGTACATCTATCAATGGCTAAAAAAAAAAAAAAAAAAATTAATGATGTAACCGTCCAATGGGTTCACTTTTCCCTCTGCCTAGACAGAGCCAATTTATCAAGACAGGGGAATTGCAATGGAGAAAGAGTAATTCACGCAGAGCCAGCTGTGCCGGAGACCAGAGTTTTATTGTTACTCAAATCAGTCTCCCCAAGCATTTGGGGATCAGAGTTTTATTTTTATTTTATTTTATTTTTTATTATACTTTAAGTTCTAGGGTACATGTGCACAACGTGCAGGTTTGTTACACATGTATACATGTGCCATGTTGGTGTGCTGCACCCAGTAACTCATCATTTACATTAGGTATATCTCCTAATGCTAACACTCCACCTTCCCCCAACCCCATGACAGGCCCTGGTGTGTGATGTTCCCCACCCTGTGTCCACGTGTTCTCATTGTTCAGTTCCCACCTATGAGTGAGAACATGTGGTGTTTGGTTTTCTGTCCTTGCGATAGTTTGCTCAGAATGATGGTTTCCAGCTTTATCCATGTCCCTGCAAAGGACATGAACTCATCCTTTTTTATGGCTGCATAGTATTCCATGGTGTATATGTGCCACATTTTCTTAATCCAGTCTATCATTGATGGACATTTGGGTTGATTCTAAGTCTTTGTTATTGTGAATAGTGCCACAATAACATACGTGTGCATGTGTCTTTATAGCAGCATGATGTATAATCCTTTGGGTATATACCCAGTAATGGGATGGCTGGGTCAAATGGTATTTCTAGTTCTAGATCCTTGAGGAATCGCCACAGTGTCTTCCACAATGGTTGAACTAGTTTACAGTCCCACCAACAGTGTAAAAGTGTTCCTATTTCTCCACATCCTCTCCAGCACCTGTTGTTTCCTGACTTTTTAGTGATCACCATTCTAACTGGTGTGAGATGGTATCTCATTGTGGTTTTGATTTGCACTTCTCTGATGGCCAGTGATGATGAGCATTTTTTCATGTGTCTGTTGGCTGCATAAATGTCTTCTTTTGAGAAGTGTCTGTTCATATACTTCAGCCACTTTTTGATGGGGTTGTTTGATTTTTTCTTGTGAATTTGTTTAAGTTCTTTGTAGATTCTGGATATTAGCCCTTTGTCAGATGGGTAGATTGTAAAAATTTTCTCCCATTCTGTAGGTTTCCTGTTCACTCTGATGGTAGTTTCTTTTGCTGTGCAGAAGCTCTTTAGTTTAATTAGATCTCGGAGATCAGAGTTTTAAAAGATAATTTGGCGGGTAGGGGCTTGGAAAGTGGGGAGTGCTGATTGGTCAGGTTGGAAATGGAATCAAAGGGGGTTGAAGTGAGTTTTTCTTAACGTCTTCTGTTCCTGGGTAGGATGGCAGAACGGGTTGGGCCAGATTACCAGTCTGGATGGTGTCAGCTGATCCGTCAAGTGCAGGGTCTGCAAAATATCTCAAGCACTGATCTTAAGCTTTACAATAGTGATGTTATTCCCAGAAGCAATTTGGGGAGGTTTAGACTCTTGGAGCCAGAGGCTGCATGACCCCTAAATTGTCATTTCTAATCTTGTAGCTAATTTGTTAGTCCTGCAAAGACTGGACATCAGGCAAGAAGGGGGTCTTTTCGGAAACGGCTGTTATCAATTTTGTTTTAGAGTCAAAACATGAACTGAGTTCTTTCCCAAAGTTAGTTTGGCCTGCACCCAGCAATGAGCAAGGACAGCTGAAGGTTTATAAGTAAGATAGAGTCAGTTAGGTCTGATTTCTTTCACTGTCATAATTTCCTCAGTTATAATTTTGCAAAGGCAGTTTCAGTGACATCACCCAGTGCTGGCAAGGATGTAGAGAAACTGGATCATTGTTACATTGCTGATGCTACAGAGATTCTGGAAAACAGTTTGCAGTTCCTTTAAAACTAAACATGTAATTACCATATGGCTCAGTAATTGTACTCCAGGGAATTTGTCCCAGAAAAATGGGAGCTTATGCTCACACACAAAACCTGTACACAAATGTTTAAATCAGCTTTATATATAATAGCCCGTAACTAAAAATGACTCAGATATTCTTCAACAGATGAATGGTCAAACTGTGGTATATCAGTACCATGGAATACTACTTATAAATAAAAAGAAATGAGTTACTGATACATGCAACAATCTGGATGAATCACCAAAGGATTATGCTGAGGTTTTTTTTTTTTTTTTTTTTTTGAGACGGAGTTTCGCTCTTGTTGCCCAGGCTGGAGTGCAATGGCGCAATCTCGGCTCACTGCAGCCTCCGCCTCCCAGGTTCAAGCAATTCTCCTGCCTCAGCCTCCCGAGAAGCTGGGATTACAGGCATGCACCACCACGCCCGGCTAATTTTGTACTTTTAGTAGAGATGGGGTTTCTCCATGTTGAGGCTGGTCTTGAACTCCTGACCTCAGGTGATCCACCAGCCTCGGCCTCCCAAAGTGCTGGGATTACAGGCGTGAGCTACCGCACCCAGTTTATGCTGAGTTTTTTTTAAAAAATCCATCCCAAATGGTACATACTCCATTATTCCATTTATATAATATTCTTGTAGTGACAAAATTATAGAAATGGGTAAGAAATTAGAGGTTGTGAAAGGAAAATGTCTTGGGCCCCCAAAATGACTAAGGAAAACTCAAGCTGGAAACTGCTTAGGGCAAACCTCCCTCCCATTCAATTCAAAGTCACCCCTCTGCTGAGATAGATGCATGTGTGATTGCCTCTCTTGGAAAGGCTAATCAGAAACTCAAAAGAAAGTAACTGGTTGTGTATCACCAATCTGTGACCTGGAAGCTGCCTCCCGACTTCCAGTATTTCTGCCTTTGCTTTGAGTTGTCCCACCTTTCCAGAGTGAACCAGTGTACTTCTTACATGTATTGACTGATGTCTCATGTCTCCCTGGAATGTATAAAACCAAGCTGTGCCCTGGCCACCTTGGGCACTTGTCGTCAGGACTTCCTGAGGCTGTGTCTCGGGTGTGTTCTCAACCTTGGCAAAATAAACTTTCTAAATTAACTGAGACCTGTCTCAGATTTTCTGCATTCACATTCTTAAAAGGGCGACATGAGGGATCCTTGTGGTGATGAAAATGTTTTGTATTTTGATACTATCAATGTCAGTATCCTGGTTGTGGTGTTGTACCATAGTTTACAAGTTTGGGAAAACTGAGTAAAAGGAATGTAGGATCTCTCTGCATTATTTCTCACAATTGTATGTGAATCTACTATTACCTCCAAAGAAAAATTTTAATTAAATAAAAAGTGAACATTATTAAATATGAATCAAATGTATTTCTTTTTTGTTTGAATAAAGTTATTTGAATTTGTTTAAGAAATTCATGATAGCAAAAAAGGAATTGGATTGAACAGGTAAAACGGAACTGATTTAGCCCGAGAAAGCATTTCCTGCCTTAGTAAATGTCAAGGTAATAGGGCCAAACAGTTTGGTATCCTCTTTGAATGCTCTTTCTCTAACTGCTGTATCTGATCAACTGTTTTCTTCCTCAAAATTCTCTAGAGTGTACTCATCTTTGGCAGGGCCTTTAATGCTGCGCATATATATGGTGACTTTGTGAGAATAACGAAATGGTACCTTGTCTAGCTGATGAATAAAAAAAGGGTTTCCTTCTTCCTCCTGCTGGGCCACAGTGCTTGGCCAGGAGATCACAGTCTGATCTTCAACAACCATCTGCCCCTTGGGAAACTGCTTGGTGCAGGGCATGGCTTTCTGTATGGCTGTATATGGTGGGCTTTGCCTTATTATTTTCTGCCACCCTTATCTTCACCATGGTTTGAGTCAGCACCATTTCTCCCCTGCAGCATTCTCTTAATTCTCCTTACCTCCAATCTTGCTTTTCTTCAGTGCTTTCTCCACACCGCAGCTAGAATTTGCTTTCTGAAATACAACTCTGATCATGCTGCCTCACCAACAACCCTACAATAAGCCCCCTTTGTCCTCAGTATGGAGTCTAAGCTCTGGGGGTATGGCACACAGGTCATCCTCTTCCTGAACCCACCAGCCTTTCTCCTCTCCACTTTTTCAACCCTTTTCTTATCTTCTACTGTCCTGCAGCTCACATGAGCCATGATCCCTCATCTTTGATATTTCTGTGCCTTGAATACCTGTTCTACTCTTAACCTCCAGCCTTGTATCTGGCTGACTTCTACATGTCCTTCAGAACTCAGCTCAGACATCCCCTCTGGGAAACCTTTCTAATCTCATGAGCTTGAGCTGCGTGTTTCTCTGTGTTCATACTCACTCTGAACCGTAGCCCTGAAAACACTGGTTTGTAAGTGTCTGCCTCTGCATCTGCCTTTCCCATATAGCTGCTATCTTCTCCAGGACAGGAACAATATCTTATTTACTATTGTAACCCAGGGATCTACCGTAGTACTTGGCACATTGAACAACCTCAACTGTCAGCTGGTAACACCTTTTTTTTATTAAGTGAATGCAAAATCATGTAGTTAACTGTTCCAGAAAATGTGAAGCTAGGGATAAGGGAAGAAGGGTGGAAAGGCAACTACTTTCTGGACTTTACATGTTCAGTGCCTCTGTTACAATGTCTCTGGAAGCTTTTTGATCTATGGGCTTTCACTTCTTTCTCATTCTGGCATGGAATTGGAATTTGAACTATTTTTCACACCTGCTTTAGTGACTCTGAAGGAATGTATCAATTAAGCAAAGAGCAAACCACTGGAAACAGTTCTGACAGGGTTATTCCAAAAGGATCTGCATTGGAAAACAAGGTCTGAAATGATATCTTTAATGTCTTACATAGCCATAAAATCAGGGAATGTGTAAAGGTCTGCAGGTGAGTGGCTGTTGATATTTAAAGCATTGAATTTTGGAATCTTCAGACATTCCTTTCAACGGAAGAATTATTGCCCAATGGTGGGAGTATTTATTTAGCTCTGCAGAGCCAGAAGATGCCTTTTCCCCCTCTTTTTTCAGCTGTAGGAATAAGGACCTGAGTGGAAAGTGCCCATAAAATTACTGACCCTCAAATCCTCCCTGATTTCCTTCTCATCTCTGAACACCCAGATGATCTTGCTCCTCTCATCATGTTTAGAACCTACCCCTCTGTCCTTCCAAGGGGAAAAATCAGCTGCCATGAAATGGGAGGAATGTATTTGATTCTTTTCCTCACTCGGCGAAGACTGTACCAATAATGTAACATGTGGGATCATAGAAGGGTATCAGCACCTGCTGTGGGTACAAAAGAGAGGAAACACTTTATTCAAGTCTTTATTTCTTGTCTTCATAGCTCATAACTTGTGTTTATTTTTTTAATTGACTTTTAATAGTTGTACATATTTTTGGGACATATGTCATATTTTGATACCTATTTACAATGTGTAGTTATCAAACCAGAGTAATTGGGATGTCCAGCTCTGTTTTTAAAAAAATTACATATGTGTTCTCCCTAGAACAAGGGCCAAAAAACTTTTTCTCTAAAGGGCAAGATAGTAAACATTTTAGAATTTACTGATCATACAGTCTCGGTCATAACTACTCAACTCTGCCACTGTATGCAAAAGCAACCACTGACAATAAATGAGGGGATTTCAAAAAGTGCATGAAAAATTGAATGAAAAAATAAAAATTAAAAATATAAGTTTTCTTCTCAGCATGAGCTTCAAGTTCAAGACATTTTTGTAAGTGATGGTACCAGCCATTAAGTTCATCTCTAAAAAACTGGGAGTCCTGGGAATTCACCATGTCAAAGTAATGTTTTTTATATTATTAACTGAAGGAAAATGGGTGCCTTTAAAGATTTTTTTATGATTAGGAGGCAAAAAGAATTCAGAAGGAACTGAATCATGACTGTAAGATGGAAGCCTAATGATTTCTTACTGAAACTCTTGCAAATGGCCCTTGTTTGATGAGAGGAATAAACAGGTGCATAGTCGTGGTAGAAAAGGATTCTAGTGAAGCTCTCCTGAGTGTTTTTTTGCCAAAGGTTTGGCTAACTTTCTCAAAATACTCTCATAATAAGAAGATATTATGGGCGGGTGCGGTGGCTCACACCTGTAATATCAGCACTTTGGGAGGCCGAGGGGGGCGAATCACCTGAGGTCAGGAGTTTGAGACCAGCCTGACCAACATGGAGAAAACCCGTCTCTACTAAAAATACAAAATTAGCTGGGCATGGTGGCACGTGCCTGTAATCCCAGCTACTTGGGAGGCTGAGACAGGAAAATTGCTTGAACCTGGGAGGTGGAAGTTCTGGTGAGCTGAGATTGCCCCATTGCACTCCAGCCTGGGCAACAAGAGTGAAACTCCATCTCAAAAAAAATAAAAATAAGAAAATATTATTGTTCTTTCACACTTCAGAAAGTCAACAAGAAAAATGCCTTGAGCATCCCCCCAAAATTGTTGCCATGACCTTTGTTCTTGGCCGATTCACTTTTGCTTTGACTGGCCCCCCTCCACCTCTTGGTGGCCATTGCTTTGAGTGTGCTTTGTCTTCAAGATTGTACTGGTAGAGCCTTGTTTCATCTCCTGTTACAATTCTTAGAGGAAATGCTTCAGGATCTTGATACTGCATGCTTAAAATTTCCATTGAAACCCCTGCTTTTGTCTACAGCTGATCTGGGTGCAATCATTTTGGCAGCCATTGAGTGGAAAGTTTGTTCAACTTTAATTTTTCAGTCAGAATTGTGTAAACAGAACCAATGGAGATGTCTGTGATATTGGCTGTTGTTTCTACTGTTAATCATCAGTTCTCTTCAATTAAGGCAGGAAAAAAGATAAATTTTTTCCTCACAAATTGATGTAGATGATCTGCTGCTGCTGGCTTCATCTTCAACATCATCTCATCCCTTCTTAGGATGAGTGATCCATTTGTAAACTGCTGATTTCTTTGGGGCATTGTCCTGTAAACTTTTCATAAAGCATCAGTGATTTCATCATTCTTCCACCCAAGCTTCACCATAAATCTGATGTTTGTTTTTGCTTCAATTTTAGCAGAATTCATATTGTTCTTATAGAGGCTCTTTTCAAACCAACATCGTATCCTTGTTTATGCCTCAAACTAGATCCTTTTCAGATATGTTGTAACCAGTTGGCATGAGTTTATTTTGGTGCAAAAAAATTTGAACTCCATGCATAGTTTTTTTCATAATACGCATTTTCCATAAACTTTTAAAAGACTCCTCTCATATAAATGAATGGGCATAGTTGTGTTCCAATCAAACTAAGCACTGAAATTTGAATTTCAATAAATTTCATGTGTCATAAAATAGTATTTTTCTTTTGATTTATTTCCAAGCATTTTTTTTTACTTCACAGACTGCTCAAAAATAGATAGTGGGCCAGATTAGGACTGCGTGCTATAATTTGTTGGTCTTTGCACTAGAATGTCAACTAGAGAGTGATGGGATTGGATTTGTGCTTTTAGCCAGTGCATCTCAAATTTAAATGTGCATATGGATCATCTGGGTTCTGTTAAAAATGCAGATTCTGTTGTGAGAGTCTGCATTTTTAACCAGCTGCAGGACCATACTGGTGCTGTGGTTTGCGGACCACACCTTGAATAGCAAGGTTTTCAAAGATTGCACATTGGCATCCATCCGTGCAAGACAGCTTGGATTGTAGAGGGACCGGATGGGGATGGGGATGAGTGGTAAAGAGGAGTTAGAAGGCTTTGTAATTGTTCAGGATTGCACTAATTAGGGCCTATCCTAGGTCAGGGTCAGTGAGGTTGGAGAGGGACAGATGAGTATGAAAGACTTCTGGGAGGTGGACTCAGCAGGTCTTGGTTGCTGAGTGGATGTGAGAGACAGAGGGAGGAGAAATTGAGGTTGACTACAAGATTCTGTTGGCCAATGGTGCACTTAGCAAGACCCCGATGATCCATACGGAAGTGGGTACAGAGTAGGTGCTTAATCAATGTTGTTTAAATGAAAAGGCAAGGGGAAGAGCAAGTTGGGTTGGAAGGGGATGGGAGAGAGAAGAGAATTACCTCAATTTGGGGTAGTTTGAGTTTGATTCTTCAGAAACCAAGAGAAAGTAGTAAAGGCAGGTAATGTTTTGAAGGCAGAATGCTGCCCGAAGCTGCTGGTCTGGGAATGGGTTGTTTTCCATCAACTGAGAATTTGACCCAGAACAACAGCACTACGCGTTGGGTGTCCCTTATCTGAAATGCTTGGGAGCAGAAGTGTTTAGGATTTCATGATTTGTTTTGGTGGGCGGGGAGGGGGGATAGATTTTGGAATATTTGAATATATACAATGAGATATCTTCGAGATGGGACCCAAATCTAAACACAAAATTCATTTCTGTTTCACATTCACCTTATACACATAGCCTGAAGGTAATTTTATTTAATGTTTTTAGTAATTTTGTGCTCGTGAATCAGTTTTGACTGCATTTTGTCTTCATTCCATCACATGAGGTCAGGTGTGGGATTTCCCACTTGCAGGGTGATATCAGTGCTCAAAAAGTTTCAAGTTTTGGAATCATTTAGATTTTGGATTTCTGGACTAGAGATTCTCAACCTATACCAACCAGGAAGAGCATAAGCTATACCAAAAGTATACTGAGGGCATTTGCCACCTTGCAAGGGTTCTTATATAAATGTTTAACTTTATTCTTATTTTACAATAGAAATTTTGTTACAAAAAACCATCGGGCTGCGCGTGGTGGCTCACGCCTATAATCCCAGCACTTTGGGAAGCTGAGCCGGGCAGATCACCTGAGGTCAGGAGTTCAAGACCAGTCTGACAAACATGGAGAAACCCCATCTCTACTAAAAATACAAAAGTAGTCGGGCATGGTGACATATGCCTGTAATCCCAGCTATTCGGGAGGCTGAGACAGGAGAATTGCTTGAACCCAGGAGGCAGAGGTTGCATTGAGCCAAGATTGCACCATTGCACTCCAGCCTGGGCGATAAGAGCAAGACTCCATCTCAAAAAACAAAAAACAAAAAACAAAAAACCAAAAAAAAAACCATCAAGGAATCAGAATTTGCTTGCAAATGTTTTAAAGCTCTGGCCTGAGAATCAACTTAATTTAAATATTATACCATAAGGCCTGTTGTCTCAGGTTTTCTCCACTCCTATGTTTAATTTAGTTGTTCTGCTGAAGACACTAAATATCTGTCATATATCAAAGGAATTTGTCATTTATGTAATATTATATAATGCATTCTTAGATGAAGCAGGTTTTGTTTCCTGTTTTTTGTTTTTGTTTTTAGCCCACTTTTACCTTTGCAAATTCTGATGAAAGAAAAATTTACCTGAATTTGCTGGTGATCTTTTCTGTCACTGGCCATAGAAAAACCCCAAACATACCAGCAGTGTTTAATTAACAACCTCCTGATTCTTCCTTTGTCTCTAGTCCTTCCCTCTTTTAATCCATTTTACACATTATTGCCCAATTAATATTTCTGAAGCTTATCCCTGATCCTATTACTACCTTGTTCAATAAACTTAAATGACTCTCTGTGGTCTACATAAGTCTGCACTCCTCAGCCTGCTTTTCAGTGTGCACCACCATCTGATTTCCATATACATTTCCAAAAGATTTCCTATTACTCACTTTTACCCACCCCACCTGACAACAAAATCAAACTCACTGCTTCCTCTCAGGTCCTGCTCTTCCCGGCCTCTGGGCCATGATGCAAGCTGCTCCATCCACCCACTCTCCCAGCCTACTCTGAGCCCTAAAGTTCTCTGAAGTTCAGGCCAAACTTCTGCTTCTCCATGAAGCATTCTCTGATTTCCAAGTTGAAAATAATATTTTTTTTTGTTTTTAATTTTCAAAGTTCTTTATCTGTGCAGCAAGGTATGGCAGGAAGGTTATGGATCTCTAGAATGTAAGCTCAAGGTAGGACCTGGTCCACTTATTCATTGCTGTGTCACCACTGCCTAGGCAAATGACTGGCACATAGTAGGTGCTGAATAAATATTTATTGATGAGTGAACAAATGGAATGAATGAATGACTAAATTAAGATGAGTTCAGTTTAAATTCAAGGCTACCATCACATGCAAATGCCTAAGACATGGATTGAAACAAGGTAGGGGCTTAATATGTTAAGTTCCTTCCTGTTTATTATCTCTTTTATGGCAGTTGTAAATCTCAGATATATTTATTTCTGCAGTGTCTGGGATCTAGTGTCAGAGGGAAAAGAAATAAATCTTGAGCACTTACTGTCTGTTAGGTTCTGTGCTAGGTGCCTTATATTCACATCTTATTTTAATTCTCCATAAGAATTCTATAAGGTAAGTATTATCCTTTCCATTTTACTATGGAGAGAAGCTAAACTCAAAGGTATTTGTCACTTTGGGAGCCCAGGAATTCAAGACCAGCCTGGGCAACATGGTGAAACCCCATCTCAACAAAAAATACAAAAATTAGCCGGACATGGTGGCATGTGCCTATAGTCCTGCTACTCAGGAGGCTGAGGTGAGAGGATCGCTTGAGCCTGGGAGGCAGAGGTTGCAGTGAGTTGAGTCATGCCACTGCACTCCAGCCTGGATGACAGAGCAAAGAAAAGAAAAAAGAAAACTTGTTATAGGTCACAGATTTCATAAGTGGTAGAGCTGAGATTTTAAAACCCAGTCAGCCTGATCTAAAACTCATGCCCTTATTACCTATATATAATAACATGGGTTATTAACTAATAAATTACAAAAGTGTGATGCAAAACCGTGTTTACCCAACTTCCACATTCTTACCGCTTTATTGTGATGGCTCTCAATATGTCACTACATAGCAAGTGCTTAATAAAGGAATAAATAAGTAAATGCATTTAAAATAAGCTAGCAAAAATGAATGAATTATAGAACTAGTGGATTAAGAATAAGCCATGATTTCCTACTAGAAAATCATGAAGTCAGATTAATGTCTGTTGACATGAGAGCACCAATTGCTTTTGCCAAAAGAACAAGGTTAGCTACAAAATGCAAATAAGTCCAAACTGACAAATAGTCTATTGCTGCCACCATGGAGTCAAGAAGATCTGCAGCCATCTTTGATGCCTGCCCTCTTAATTGCAAGGCCAGGCATGTAGTTTATTCTTAGTCTACAACCGCAGGCCTGAAAAGCAGCAGCTTTGGTTGTCTTCAGCTGTCATCCACAGCAGGTCCTAGACCATAGTAACACCCACTCCCGTGGAAAGTTTGAAGTAAAAGTCCTCTCTGACTCATCTCTTCTGACTATTCAAATCACAAAATTAACCAGGGTAGGTGCAGAGGAACTTGTAGCTGAGAAACTTCTGAGAGACTTAAGTTATTCACAGATTATCAACATTAGTTATCTCACCATATAAAAGAAATAACAAAGTAATTCTACCATCAAAAACATCTTCTAAAATCTTGAAGGCTATGTCCCATTTGGTCAGTGTGCAACTTTGGAAAGCTGATTAACCTCTCTAAGCCTCAGTTATCACATGGGGATAACAGTGAATGCTTTGTCTGTTGGTTTCAGAGGATTAAGTAGAAACATTTCACACTATGTTCAATAAGGGTTTTAATTAAAAATACCATTTTACATCTATCACACTACTTTCAGCACATCTGGGAATTTCTTTCAACAAGACACTGACTGCAAGCTGGACCAACTGTCTAGGAATTGATCCTGTTATTGAAAGACCTTCATATATATTTTATTTGCAACCCTATTGTAGGAACCTAGTATCCTAAAAGTATCTTTTAGGTGTGTGCAGCGATTCTTAGATATTTGAGAGAGATCTCAGAGTGTCTTTCAGGTATTTGCAATACATTGATTACAAATTGCTATTGATTTTGATCTGATTTGTATAGGAATAAATCCTGATTCTCATGATTAATACAATAATAATAAAAGCTACATTTTATCAGCACTGGGTAAGTGTTTGGTATGTATTATACTAACTTCTCACAATGTCTCTGTAGGGTAAAGATTATTGTCTTCACTTGCATATCTACAACCTAGATGCAAATTAGCTTATGTAAGTTGTCATCCATATCATAGACAGTAAGCAGCAGACCTGTGATTTAAGCGCAGGTCTGTCTGACTCCAAAGTATGCATTCTTTCCACCAAGTCACATGAACTTGGAACCCTTAGCCATATGGTCACAACCTATCACTTTCATATTACTGAGAAACATGGAGTGGTGTGTCAGTGTGACAACTCTGCTAGAAGACAGGAGTACAAAGATGAACAAGACATAAGAGAACAAGCAGCTTTGGTTGTCTTGAGCTGGGTCATCCATAGCAGATCCTAGACTATTGTAATACCGTCTCTAGTGGAAAGCTGGTTGTTTAAGGATTAACAGTTCAGAAGGGGGAGGCAAAGGAATACACAGGACTTGTGAAAACAGGCTGATTAATGTGTACATTGAGAGGGGCTGGATTAGGTAAGACAGTGGAGGAGGTGATGCCTTAGCTAAATTCTGAAGAGTGAATAGGCATTAGCCAAGTGAATGAATGGAGTTGGGTATGAGAGAAGACTGCCCTAGGGAGAAGGGATGATATATGCGAAGACCTGTAGCGGGAGAGACAGAGGCATGTTTGGAGACCAGCAAGGTGTTTAATGTATTTGGAATACAGTGGGTCCTCGAATAACATTGCTTCTTTCAACGTGGCTTTATTATAACATTGATTAGGAAAAATGATCAATTCTCTGCTGGAGTCGCTGTCTGGGTGGAGTTTGCACATTCTCTTCAGGTCTGCATGGGTTTTCTCTGGGTATGCCTCTTTCCTCCCACATTCCAGAGATGTGCACGTTAGATTAACTGGTGTGTCTAAATTGTCCCAGTCTGAGTGTTTACGTGTGTCTCTGTGCATGTGTGTGTATGCTTTGTAATGGAATGACGTCCTGTCCAGGGTTGGTTCCCAACTTGCTCCCTGAACTGCAGGGATAGGCTCAGACCATCTGCACCTTGAACTGGAATAATGGGTAAATAATTATCTTACTTGTTTTTATTAATCTCTCTTAAATGTCCATATAGCTCACATTTATTTCAATGTGTAATATTAGAAGTGTTTGGGGTCTTTATTTAGAAATTTGTTTTTGTGTGACCAGAAATATGCCACCAAAACTTAGCTATTGTTTATATCAATTAGCCTACGGTAAAATAATTTTCACTCTACATCGTTTTGCTTAAAGTCGCAATTTCCAGGAACATATCAATGATATTAAGTGAGGACTTACTGTATATAGAGAGGAGAGTGGAGAGCATGAAGCTTTGGAGTAAAGGTAGGGAAATTGGGCTTTATCATAATGGATATTTATATTGATGCAGGATGGAATTTAGGTTAGAGAACAGGAGAGGGACAAAGGAGCTAGTAAGAGGTAACAGCCATGGACCAGGGAGGTGAGGCTGGATGGAAAAGCAAATGAAGGCTGGAGGAAGCTCATAATTTGAAACGATGGTTCAGAAGATACTGGGAACATGCCTTGCCAGACTTCCCATTACTCCATGTATCACATCCTGGTCCATGGTGGAAGCAAACCTGTGGAATTACTAATGAGACATTGTTCAAAGGATTATTATATTTATCTCTCCATCCATTCTTAATCAAGGGCTTATGAATAAGAACAGTTTCTAAATGCTATTTATTCAGAATCTTCTCCACTAATTTGTCTCAAGAATTAGTCTTTGCTAGAAACTGTAGAACTGAGCCAAAGTGAATTCCTGCCAGTGTGAATGAGGTCAGAATACCTGAGTCACATAAGGTCCAGAGGGCAGGTAGCCAGCCAGGGCACCGCTGTGCTAGCCAGGGTGTCTTAACAACAGCCTAATGAAGAATAATTTTTTGTTCTGAGGCACATGGCTTTTAGTTGAAGAGGACAACTCCTAGACAACTAGCTAGAACTTTGCAGTAAGGAGAGCAATGTTGCTTGACCATAAATGAAGGAGAATTATTTGGTGCTGCCATATTCTCTAGGGGGCAAGTGCAGCTTCACAAAAGGGTGTCTTTTTGCCAGCAAAAACTAAACCAGACAAAAACCTTCCAACTCTTAGCTAAGGGGAATTCTGTGGATATAACTTGTGTTCTTACTCCTTATAACTTCTTGTTAATTTTGTTCCTTTTGAGTTCTTGTGCTTATATAGGAGGTAGTAATTTGGAACATGGTTGACTTAACTACACTGGTTGCATTGACATACATAGCACTTAAACTGTGCCCAACACATTTCTAAGGGCTTTATGCATTAACTCACTTAATATTTTTACAATCCTGTAAGGTAGGTAGATACTATTAATATCATCATTTCCAGTTTGCAGATGAAGAAACTGATGCAGAGAGACAAACTCATAGTAAAATAGCCATCTAGTAGAGTTTTGGACCCAGGGAGTATGGCTCCAGAGTCTGTGCTTGTGATCTGGGGTTTCCGAGTTTTAATGTGAAGTAGAAGCACTAGAAAAGTATGTTAAAATGCAGAATCCCAGGCCACACTCTCAGAAATTTGAATTTAATTTGTCATAGAGGGCCCTAGGTATTTCTGCTATTAACATGTGCCCTATATGCTTGTGATATGGGTGTTCCTCAGACTACACTTTGAGAAACAGTGCTCTAAACTACTACATTATCCTGTCTCTTGTTACTGTTGTTGAAAGTCTGATTGTGCCCTGACTGTTTCCTGCTTTCCCAGTATACTGCAGAATGCAAAGAAAAGAACGATGTGAAAATAACATTCTGTGGATGACTTCTATTTATCTATCATCTACTATCTATCTGTCTATCTGTCTACCTGTCTATCTTTGTATGTATTTTACAACATTGGTTCTGTCTATATACATATAAATCAGTTTGAATGAAACCAGTTTTAAGTGAAGTTTTAAAAACTTTACGTGATATCAAGTATTTCTTTGGACTTAATCTTCACGTTTTTATTCTTTGAGTCTTGCTCTGTCGCCCAGACTGGAGTGCAGTGGCACGATCTCACCTCACTGCAAATTCTACCTCCCAGGTTCAAGTGATTCTCCCGCCTCAGCCTCCCGAGTAGCTGGGATTACAGGTACCCACCATCATGCCCAGCTAATTTTCGTGGAGACAGGGTGTCACCATGTTGGCCAGGCTGGTCTTGAATTCCTGACCTCAGGTGATCTGCCTGCCTCAGCCTCCCAAAGTGCTGGGATTACATGCGTGTGCCACCGTGCCTGGCCTGGACTTAATCTTTAGCTATTTATTTTTATGTTCCATAGATTCATTTAGAAATAAATTCGTGGTCACTCTAAGAAGAGACAATCCTCGTATTTTTGTTACTAGATGCTTTGTGATCAAAAAGTGACACGTGTATAGTTCCGATACTGGGGTCAGAACTAATGTTTGTTGTGTTAGTCATTTTATAATGGCCTTTTAATGCATGTCGCTATGCTTTGAGAATGTGACCTGATCTATGGCATTTTCCTATTTATTCAAAAATGTCTAGTGTTTCTTGTGAGTTTTACTGTATTTCTTTTAACTCTCTGCCATAATTCTTATGCAACTGTGAAAAAAGATGTGCTGTCAGAGAAGAGTGAACATTGAACTCAGTGCTAAAATGATCAGATACTATTTGGAGTCTCATTTTTAAAATCTGAAATAAAAGCAGTATCTTTTTTCAATCTTATATTTATCTAAATTGGGTATTCAGAGGCATCTGTTTTTCGGTTAAAATTGTAATTCATTTCCACTTGATAGAAAAAAGGGAAAAAATAATCAGAAAGTCCTCACCAGTTACAATGTAGCCCTCTGAATTGACAAAGGTGCCAGACAGCTTCATCCTCTCCCTTAACACCAATATCCTTTGACTTATAATGAATGTCCCCTCCTCTAACTAAGCGAAATGATGTGAGAGAGAGCTCTTGCTTGGGGAAGAAAAAGAGAACAGGGAGATGAGATTTGCTAGAGACTAGAACAAAGGAACCTTAGCAAAGATGGCAGAGGCTCAGAATGCTTAGTGTATCAATGGAGGCAGGAACTAAAGTGAGAAGGGAAGAGGGGAGCTTTGAATGATAGTGAAGTGTGAATTATTTTCCATATCTTCCTTTTTTTCTCCAGTGGGCTCAAAATCTTGTGTTGTGATCCATCTCCTAAGAAGCAGCTTGTCTCTTATTTCCTTTTGCCTGTGACCATGTTCCAGAAAGTTCTGTACTCATGGGCCTAAACATTGAGAAAGGACCACTCCGTTTCCCCTACTTTCCAACAGAAGCTTTGTACTGTTTGGGCAGCCTGGGTGGATTTAACCTACCTTAGAAACTTTCCTATAAGGATACAGTTATTTTTTATTTTTTTATCCTCTTTAGATTGGGGTTATGCCAAAAAGAAATAATTGACTTCTGCTTCTGGCCAAGATGAAGTAACTGAGACCAAGTTTATCTTTCCAATTGAATCAATGAAAAAAAAAATCAGGCAAAATATATAGAACAAAGGTTGTTAAGACATTGGAGATCAGGTGATGAAAAAGTGATACCTGGGAGATGGGGAGCAAACAAGGTGAGCTCTATATTTGCCTCAGGTTATTGCTTGAATGAGTTCCCAGGTGGCTGTCCAGGGAGAGACGTCGCAGGTGGGGCCAGTGGCCCCAGCGAGTTGAGAGGACCTGAAAGTCTAGGAAGACAAAAGCAGCTAGAGTTTGCAGGGCAGGGTTCTGGAGAACAGAGAGCTGCAGAGGAGAGAAGTCCAGAGACCTGCTAAGGGTCTCCTTTCACTTTTTTGTTTGTTTGAGACAGAGTCTCTCCCGTTCTGTCGCCCACACTGGAGTGCAGTGGTGTGATCTCGGCTCACTGCAACTCTCCCTCCCGGGTTCAAGCCATTCTCCTGCCTCAGCCTCCTGAGTAGCTGGAATTAAATGTGCCCATCACCATGCCCAGCTAATTTTTGTATTTTTGTAGGGACAGGGTTTCACCATGTTGGCCAGGCTGGTCTTGAACCCCTGACCTCAAGGGATCTGCCTGCCTCAGCCTCCCAAAGTGCTGGGAGCCACTGTGCCTGGACTCTCCTTCAATTTTTACCTTTTTTTTTTTTTTTTTGAGATGGAATCTCACTCTGTCACCAGGCTGGAGTGCAGTGGCGCTATCTCAGCTCACTGCGACCTCCGCCTCCTGGGTTCAAGCAATTCTCTGCCTCAGCCTCCCAAGTAACTGGGATTACAGGCATGTGCCACCACACCTGGCTAATTTTTGTATTTTTAGTAGAGTCGGGGTTTCACCATCTTGGCCAGGCTGGCCTTGAATTCCTGACCTCGTGATCTACCCACCTCGGCCTCCCAAAGTGTTGGGATTACAAGCGTGAGCCACTGCGCCCGGCCGTCTCCTTCGATTTTTAAGGAGTGTGTTGATGGGCACATATGTGTGCGAAAACTTCTCTTGCCTGTGGAAAGAACTACACAGAAAGATTAGAAGAAAAACTACCAATAACTCACACAGGGATAGAAATAGTGCCTATTTCTTTATTTTATTTTATTTTAGTTTATTATTATTATACTTTAAGTTTTAGGGTACATGTGCACAATGTGCAGGTTAGTTACATATGTATACATGTGCCGTGCTGGTGTGCTGCACCCATTAACTCGTCATTTAGCATTAGGCATATCTCCTAATGCTATCCCTCCCCCCTCCTCCCACCCCACAACAGTTTCCAGAGTGTGATGTTCCCCTTCCTGTGTCCATGTGTTCTCATTGTTCAATTCCCACCTGTGATGGAGAACATGCGGTGTTTGGTTTTTTGTCCTTGTGATAGTTTACTGAGAATGATGATTTCCAATTTCATCCATGTCCCTACAAAGGACATGAATTCATCATTTTTTATGGCTGCATAGTATTCCATGGTGTATATGTGCCACATTTTCTTAATCCAGTCTATCGTTGTTGGACATTTGGGTTGGTTCCAAGTCTTTGCTATTGTGAATAGTGCCGCAATAAACATACGTGTGCATGTGTCTTTATAGCAGCATGATTTATCGTCCTTTGGGTATATGCCCAGTAATGGGATGGCTGGGTCAAATGGTATTTCTAGTTCTAGATCCCTGAGGAATCGCCACAATGACTTCCACAAGGGTTGAACTAGTTTACAGTCCCATCAACAGTGTAAAAGTGTTCCTGTATCTCCACATCCTCTCCAGCACCTGTTGTTTCCTGACTTTTTAATGATTGCCATTCTAACTGGTGTGAGATGGTATCTCACTGTGGTTTTGATTTGCATTTCTCTGATGGCCAGTGATGATGAGCATTTTTTCATGTGTTTTTTGGCTGCATAAATGTCTTCTTTTGAGAAATGTCTGTTCATGTCCTTCGCCCACTTTTTGATGGGGTTGTTTGTTTTTTTCTTGTAAATTTGTTTGAGTTCATTGTAGATTCTGGATATTAGCCCTTTGTCAGATGAGTAGGTTGCGAAAATTTTCTCCCACTTTGTAGGTTGCCTGTTCACTCTGATGGTAGTTTCTTTTGCTGTGCAGGAGCTCTTGAGTTTAATTAGATCCCATTTGTCAATTTTGGCTTTTGTTGCCATTGCTTTTGGTGTTTTAGACATGAAGTCCTTGCCCATGCCTATGTCTTGAATGGTAATGCCTAGGTTTTCTTCTAGGGTTTTTATGGTTTTAGGTCTAACGTTTAAGTCTTTAATTCATCTTGAATTAATTTTTGTATAAGGTGTAAGGAAGGGATCCAGTTTCAGCTTTCTACATATGGCTAGCCAGTTTTCCCAGCACCATTTATTAAATAGGGAATCCTTTCCCCATTGCTTGTTTTTCTCAGGTTTGTCAAAGATCAGATAGTTGTAGATATGTGGCGTTATTTCTGAGGGCTCTGTTCTGTTCCATTGGTCTATATCTCTGTTTTGGTACCAGTACCATGCTGTTTTGTTTACTGTAGCCTTGTAGTATAGTTTGAAGTCAGGTAGCGTGATGCCTCCAGCTTTGTTCTTTTGGCTTAGGATGGACTTGGCGATGCAGGCTCTTTTTTGGTTCCATATGAACTTTACAGTAGTTTTTTCCAATTCTGTGAAGAAAGTCATTGGTAGCTTGATGGGGATGGCATTGAATCTGTAAATTACCTTGGGCAGTATGGCCATTTTCACGACATTGATTCTTCCTACCCATGAGCATGGAATGTTCTTCCATTTCTTTGTATCCTCTTTTATTTCATTGAGCAGTGGTTTGTAGTTCTCCTTGAAGAGGTCCTTCACATCCCTTGTAAGTTGGATTCCTAGGTATTTTATTCTCTTTGAAGCAGTTGTGAATGGGAGTTCACTCATGATTTGGCTCTCTGTTTGTCTGTTATTGGTGTGTAAGAATGCTTGTGATTTTTGTACATTGATTTTGTATCCTGAGACTTTGCTGAAGTTGCTTATCAGCTTAAGGAGATTTTGGGCTGAGACAATGGGGTTTTCTAGGTATACAATCATGTCATCTGCAAACAGGGACAATTTGACTTCCTCTTTTCCTAATTGAATACCCTTTATTTCCTTCTCCTGCCTAATTGCCCTGGCCAGAACTTCCAACACTATGTTGAATAGGAGTGGTGAGAGAGGGCATCCCTGTCTTGTGCCAGTTTTCAAAGGGAATGCTTCCAGTTTTTGCCCATTCAGTATGATATTGGCTGTGGGTTTGTCATAGATAGCTCTTATTATTTTGAGATACGTCCCATCAATACCTAATTTATTGAGAGTTTTTAGCATGAAGTGTTGTTGAATTTTGTCAAAGGCCTTTTCTGCATCTATTGAGATAATCATGTGGTTTTTGTCTTTGGTTCTGTTTATATGCTGGATTACATTTATTGATTTGCGTATATTGAACCAGCCTTGCATCCCAGGGATGAAGCCCACTTGATCATGGTGGATAAGCTTTTTGATGTGCTGCTGGATTCGGTTTGCCAGTATTTTACTGAGGATTTTTGCATCAATGTTCATCAAGGATAATAGTGCCTATTTCTGTCACCCAGATGGGAAAACTTATAATTCATGGGACATTGGGTAGAATACTTAGAGAAATATTGCCCAGCAGTGGAGAATTATTAGCTCTAGGCTAAATACTGCTCTGGTATTGCCTAATGAATCTCAAAAGCATGATTCAAATGTGTCAAACTGTTTCCAAGTAATGTAATTGTGTCTTTGAACAAAACTCAAAAATATCTGTAGAAATGCAAATATGTCCAGCACCCATCAAGGTAAAAATCAAAATGTCTGGAATTAATTTAAAAATTCCTAGGCATGCAAAGAAGTGGTAAGAGATGACCCATGATGAGGAGGAAAACTTGTCAAATGACACCAAACCAGAACTTGCTTAGATGTTAGAAATCGCCAACAAGGACATTTAAACAGTTATTGTAACTGTATTACTCTATAGCACAAAAGCTAGAGCAAAAATGTTAAGTAGAGACCTGGAAAATATAAAAGGTCCAAACTGAACTTACAGGGCTGAAAACTATAATGTCTTACATGAAAAAGACACTGTATGAAGTTAACGGCAGCTTAGACATTTTTAAAGACAAGATAGACAAGATTGGCTGGGCACGGTGGCTCATGCCTATAATCCCAGCACTTTGGGAGGCCAAGGCGGGTGGATCACCTGAGGCCAGGAGTTCAAGACCAGCCTGGCCAACATGGTGAAACCCCATCTGTACTAAAAATACAAAATTAGCTGGGCCTGGTGGCATACTCCTGTAATCCCAGCTACTTGGGAAGCTGATGCAGGACAATTGCTTGAATCCAGGAGGTGGAGGTTGCAGTGAGCTGAGGTCACACCACTGCACTCCAGCCTGGACGACAAGAGTGAGACTCCATTTCAAAAAAAGAAAAAAAAAGCAAAGAAAAGATTAGGGAACTGGAAGATATTGCAATAGGAAATATCTAAAATGAAACAGAGAGACAAAAAGGAATAAAAAAAAATTTTTTTAAGTGTCAGTGTACTGTGGGACAACTTCAAGCAGCTGAAAATATGCATCATTTACTTATAAGAATAGCTAAAATGAAAAAGACTTGAGTATGCCAAATGTTGGCCAATATATATATATATATATATATATATATGGTCTAACCATTCCATTCCCAAGTATTTTTCCAAGAGAAATGAAGTCAAATGTCCACAGAAAGACTTGTTTGTAGATATTCATAGAAACTTTATCTTGTAATTATTAAAACTAGAAACAACCCAAATGCCTATCAACGACGAATGGATGGTATATCATCCATTGGTATGGTACATCCATACAATGAACACTACTTAGCAATAAAAAGGAATGAACTATTGATATATACTGTAGGGATGAATGTCAAAAATAATTACGCTGAGTGAAAGAAGCTAGACAACAGAGAGTACATACCATATTATTTCTTTTCTTTTTCTTTTCTTTTTTTTTTTAAGACAGAGTCTTGCTCTGTTGCCCAGGCTGGAGTGCAGTGGTGCGATCTTGGCTCACTGCTACCTCAACCTCCCGGGTTCAAGCAATTCTCCTGCCTCAGCCTCCTGAGTAGCTGGGATTACAAGTGCCTGCCACCACATCAGGCTTTTTTTTTTTTTTTTTTTTTTTTAAAGTACAGACAGGGTTTCGCCATGTTGGCCAGGCTGCTCTCAAACTCCTGACCTCAAGTGATCCGCCTGCCTTGGCCTTCCAAAATGTTGAGATTA
This sequence comes from Homo sapiens, assembly GCF_000001405.40. Classification (NCBI taxonomy): domain Eukaryota; kingdom Metazoa; phylum Chordata; class Mammalia; order Primates; family Hominidae; genus Homo; species Homo sapiens. The sequence continues at coordinate 75,728,204 of NC_000012.12, read as the reverse complement.
CAGGTGTAAGCCACCGTGCCCAGCCCCATATGATTTTATTTATATAAAATGCTAGATGATGCAAAATAATCTACAGTGACAGGAAGCAGACCAGGGATTGCCTGGACCCACGGCAAGGATGGGGGAGGCAGGTAAGGGAGGTAGTGAGAGATTAAAAAGGGGCACAGTAACTTTTGAGGTGATTAATATATTCACTCTCTTGATTATGTTGATGTCATTTATTTTGTGCTGGTTATGCATATAGTAAAGTTATTTTAAAAAAGAAATAACTTTTCCCAAATGATGAGCCATGTATCTTTTATAGAAGACCCTGGAATCACTTAAAAAATAAGATAAAGCAGGAAATGTTTTGTTGCACAATAGTTGGTAGGAGAAGTCTTTTCTCTCTGTTAAAACCCATTGGTCTCCGGAATCTAGGCCTCAGGAATCTGGGGAGGGGCTAGAGGCATAGTCTCTAGGCTGTACCAGCTGAGGCTCCCCACCAGGAGAAAATCCCAGGGCCACATTACAAGGGATAGTCATGAAGGTACAGAAGTAAGTAAATGTGCCAGGAAGGAGGAGCCAAACACAGACCAGAGGAAAAAAAGATAGTGTTGTGAACTCAAAAGGTAGAATTAAGATGCCACGTGGAAAGGGCTGGAAGAGTCTAAAGGTCAGTGAGAGGAGGTCTAGGGGCTGAAAGGAATTAAACAGAAGTAGAGAAAGGCAAATGCAGGCTCAGACCAAAATGGGAGCCTCTGGTGAACAACAGTCATCCCTTTGGACTTCTTCTGGTCAATGTTCGACGTGCTCTGCTGCTGCAAAGCAAAGCTGAGAAGCAACAGAAATGCATGCAACAGTTATAAGGCATTGCATAATTAATAAGAATGATTTTGTTGTGTAGATTATAGTAACATCTAGTTAGAAACACTTGGCAAGTGTGGTGGAGGGGAAAAGAAATTGAAAATCTATTTATTTAAACCTCAGTGAAAAAAAGTACTCAGAAGGTTAAGCTTTTTGGCCTTCGGCAGGGTTCCATCAAGGTATTTCCATTGGTTTGGACTATGAGATAGAACAGCTTTTGGTCTATGTGCATCAGCTGGCACTTGAAGAAAGGTGTGCAGTTAGGTGTAACAGAGATTTTGTTAAGAGTGCTTTATAATTACATTGCATTTTCAAATTTGTAAAATTCTTTCACATGCTTTATCTTTCTCATGTGGAGTTCCTATTTTTTAATCAGACTGATTAATTACTGTTAAAGATTATTTATATCAAATAATTTATAAAGTAAATTTTACAGTAGTGAGAATAAAAAGAAAGATTCACTCTGGGTCATTAGCTAGGTTGAGAAATCATCAAAACATAGGCTGGGCACAGTGATTCACGCCTGTAATCCCAGCACTTTGGGAGGCTGAGGAGGGAGGATCACTTGAGGTCAGGAGTTCAAGACCAGCCTGGCCAATATGGTAAAACCCCGTCTCTACTAAAAATACAAAAATTAGCCAGGTGTGATGGTACACGCCTATAATTGCAGCTACTTGGGAGGCTGAGGCAAGAGAATCACTTGAAACTGGGAAGCAGAGGTTGCAGTGAGTGATCATGCCATTGCATTCCAGCCTGGGTGATAGAGCCAGACTCCATATTTAAAAAAAAAAAAAAAAAGTAATCATCAAAACATAACCTTTAATAAGGAGCCTTAGAAATAATTAAACTTGCATTGTCCAATATAGTAGCCACTAGGTACATGTTTGTTTTAAATTTAAATTGATTAAAATTAAATAAAAGTAAAAATCCAGTTCTTCAGTCGTAGTACTTACATTTACACATGCAATAGTGCTCAATATGGCTAGGGCTACCATATTGGATAGTGCAGATATAGAACATTTCCTTCATTGGCCAAGGTTCTATTGGACAGTGCTGATCTAGACAAATATTTTTAGTGGCTAAAAATGTACTTTTAAATTGAATTTAACTTCAGGGCTGGAGAATTTGAGGCCCACAGAAGTTAGTGATTTATACAAAGTCACCCAAGAAGAACCTGAAAATGGCCCAAATTTCCTGACTTCTATATGAGTGATCATTTTAGCACCTCATACCACCAAACTTTTATTTTTAATTCTGCTCTTGAATAAGAGAGGATTGGATACTCCAAGCTGGCAAGTAATCAAACACTCATTTAGTTTTTTGTTTGTAATTTACATTTATATTTGAAGTTAGGCAGAGCTATAGTCCAAAAACTTTACTTCAAACAATATTAATGATGTCATGCTATAAAGACAGAATGCAGAAGAGCTTGGAAGTATTTCAGTTTCCTTGCTCTGTTTCTTTTTACACGTCCTTGTTCAAGCCACTCTACTCCATGCTGGGACAAGACAGTTTGTTCTTAGGTTAACAGAAAAACAGTCAGAGTCACCTCCTCTTAAAGCATCGAGCACCAGGTGGGAAAGGGCTCAGATTTTTAAAGGTTGCTCAGTGGGGCTTTGAAAATTAAAGAGAGCCCAGAAGAGATGTGGAGAAAGCATGCAATTACACTTGAGAAGGTGTAGCCTTTCCACTGGGTGCATTCTTGATGAGACAGCAAAGTGAGTCATTAAACAGTAGGCTGTCAATAAAGCTGAGACCCAGATTTGCCGTGGATCAGCTGCACTGCCAAAAATTTAACCATCTAAAAAAACCATGGGCAGATCCTTGGTGAACCCTTGGACCTGTTTGCATTACAAGCTTACAATCTTAATTTTTCTGAAAAGAAATAGAGAAAGGAGTAGATGTATATTGAAGAATTGCGATGAAATGCAAGAGTTCCTTATAAACATTACGCAGGGTCATTTTGGAAAGTCAATAATTTATAGCCTTTTTACTGGCCTCAGGGAAAAATGATCACTTCCACATTTGAATTTTAGTAAAAGTTGTTTTTCCTGGATCTCCATTAAATTTCATCCAGCTTTTGGCAGAAATTGTCTTCCTGGACCCTACTGGAGTGCTGGCTGACAAGTTACATCTTCCATGGGGCCACAACTCCCTAACGAATTCTGGGAGAGCAGCCTATTTTTGTTACCAGACGCTGGAGGATGCGTGACATGTCATTAACCTTCAAAACTGGCTCTGCACAAGAGTATTGTCAACAGATGGTGACTCTGATTCTCTCTCTCTCTCCCCTCCCTCCCTTCCTCCTCCATCCCCAGGATATCTTCTGGCATAGAATGCTCATTGGTTTCAAAGGGAAATTCGTGTGTGACACAGACACTGTGGAATGTAGAACAAAAACTGGAACAAAGTCTCTTATATTTATAATTGCGGACTATAGGAATTAAATGCACAGAGTAAACCATCAATAGTGTTTATACATTAAGACAGGCATACCAGTGATAAAGTGAATATTTATGCTGAGAGGCAGGCTCTTTAGGATCAGGGAAAGGTGTCTGGGCACTGGATGGAAGAGCTCAAAGCCAGCATTGGACTTAGAATTTTGGCCCAGCCATTTAACTCTTCAGTCTCTCACTTTGCCTTTTCAGTTTTTATCAGTGGAAGTCAATAGTAATTAGGGCATTATTTATCAGTTACTCCCAAAAAATGTAATCCCAGCACTTTGGGAGGCCGAGGCGGATCACGAGGTCAGGAGTTCAAGACCAGCCTAGCCAAGATAGTGAAACCGCATTTCTACTAAAAATACAAAAAAATTAACCGGGCGTGGTGGCGGGCGCCTGTGATCCCAGCTACTCAGGAGGCTGAGGCAGAGAATTGCTTGAACCCAGGACGTGAAGGTTACAGTGAGCCTAGATTATGTCACGGCCCTCCAGCCTGGGGGACAGAGCGAGACTCCATCTCAAAAAAAAAGAAAAGAGAAAGTTAATTCATTTATTATTTTTAGCAAATATTTATAGGATGCTTAAAATATACCATGCACTATGCTAGGCTCTAGGAAGAAACAAGATGTAAAGCAAAGTGCCTGTCAGGAAGAGGCTGACCAGTAATCAGATGATTATAATACAGCTTTTGAGAGCTTCCTATGGAAACACATATGGGGAAAGGAGAGGTCTACAACCCAGGATACCATGGGGCGCAGTTCCAGGGGCACAAAAAGCCATGCGGTAAACATATCACAGCTTCCCAAAGCATCAGTTTTATTTAACAGGACATTTAAACTATTTATCTTAAAATAAAATATATATATTACAGAGTAGAAAGAAATTTTCCAATAAATTTCTTTTATTTAGCCCACGTATACCGGGTTCTTTCACCTTTCTCTTAATGAAGACTTCTAGGGAAAAGTGAGGGCATAAAGACCGGTTTTTGTGTAGGCGTTTATGAAGCCTAAGAAGCCCTTTCAGTGCCACTTCGCCATCAGTGCTAGAGGAATCCACATCATACTATTTACATTCACAGGGCACCATGTGGTTTATAAAGGCATTTGACGAATTTTGCACCTCACAGTAAACAAGTGTGCTATTTTGCTTTACTGATGAGGATATCGAAGTTTTATGAGATTAATCCATTTTGGTGAGTGGTTCAAAGTCACAGAGTGATTAGTGGCAGAATCAGACTTCATCTTGGTTTCTGACACCAAATCCATTATTCTTTCTCCTGTAACTCATTCCTTCTCTTTCCAATGATTAAAAATTAAAAGACTGAGGTAAAGGATCTCTAGCCTTTTTCTGGCACATATCCACCTTCTTGCTCTTTGGGAATGGAGGGTAGAAGTGAGGAAGGTAGACTCTGGCAGATGCTGAGAGTGAAGTTCTTGAGAGGCCGGGTGAGATGGAAGGCTCTGCTTGATGTCTGAGAAAACTTAGGGAAAGGGGCATGGGAATTAATGAAGGTGAAACTGGGTTAAGTAGGGAACACTGTGGTGACAATTTAAGGATCTATCATGAGAGGTGTCAAGATCTGCTTGTTGTTAGATTTTGGGTCTCTTGCTAGTTGCCCTTCACATAGATTATACTCTTTGTTCTCTCATTGACGCCTCATGACCTTAGACTTGCTGTTTTGACTTTTCCATCCATCAAAACTAAACTAGCTAACATTGCAAAGTTTTGGAGGGATATAACATCAAAATAATGTTTAAGATGCCCCATCTTAAGTTAGGCAGTGAGGAAATACCACAAACCATGCTGATGCTTCTTGAAAAACAAGCAGGGCTAAGCCACATATCATTACTTGGCAATGCTAAATTCCTGAATTGCTTATATATACGTTTCACATGTAACCTCTGTCTTTAAACTAAAGAAGTTATTTGCTTATAATAATTACAGATTTGATTAAAATCATACACCGTGATTCAAGATTTAAAAATTAAATGGCTGAGACAAAGAAGTGACAAACTAAAGGAAGCCACAGTATGCTTGCCAATTGTTCTTGGCAGGAAATGGATGACTCATCCTGAACATGTGCTTTCGTTGCTGGGACAATGGGGCGCAATGAAAATGTTCAACTTACTGAATAGTGTGGACATTTTTGTCATCTGTTTGTAGGAGACTGATGAAATACAACTACAGATTAATAAGAACCCCGAAGTAACCTATGCTTTTGTGTGAGAAAACTAATGATAAATATTAAGAAAAAGACATGGACTGTTTCAAAATAATCAGTAGGTTTTCTATGCACTAAAAGAGACTGTGTACGGCAGATCCCAGGAAAGTAGAGGTGGAGAAATTCCAGAATTTAGGAAGGAAACTTAATATTGCCAATGGGAGACATGATTTATTCCCAAGAAGGAGAAAATAGGATTAGTAGCTGAGGGAGAAGTAAACAAGTAAGTTTTGGTTGCAGGAGAATGGGCCATTTCTGAAGTCCTTCCTAATGTGACCCTGATAGGATATCATCTCCTGTCTGGTATCTAATCCTGTAAAAATATCTGACAGGTAGACAGGGAAGGGGTATTAACTTGGTTTAACCTTCATGAACTGGCCCAGAGTTACTAAGCACTTAAAAGGACTGAGGGGCTGTGTAGGGGCCGGAGTATATGGGAAATTTCCGTACCTTCTCCTCGATATTGCTGTGGACCTAAAACTGCCTTTAAAACATTAAATCTATTTAAAAAAATGCTTTGTTGACAAAGTATCAGTGATCAAGGCAATCCTAGTTTGGCTAAAGGATGTGAACTGAAGTTCAGGTTTTATCCCTAACTGGCTCTGTAACCTGGGGTTAGTTTGCCTTTCCGAGCCTGTTTCTATATCTATTAACAAGAAGCTTCCCTAGCTTATCTTCAAGGCCTTTTCCAGATGGAAAATGCTGTAATTCATGTGAGCAGAAATATCTGTGTACATACAACAGTCTCAGAGGAGAGCACAGTTTTGCCAACAGATGAATACCTTGAGATACCCCAGGGAAATTTACACTCTGTTATTATAGATTTGCAATCACAGGTGTGTTGTCGGTAGTGGAGCATGAGCTGAAGGAAATGATTATTGTGAGTGGGGAAAAGGGCATTTTATAAGCTGGGGCAGATTAATAATGAAGGTTGTGCTGGGGATTCCTGTTCCTTGTAACCTTAGCCATTCTGTCCATGGGGAGATCCTAGATTTGCATTTTCTCATTCTATTTGCTCAGTTAGAGCCCTCCTTTATCAAAGACTACTTCCTAAGTCCAGAATTCAGAATTGTAAAAGGAAAACTACAGAGGTGGTTAACAGAGTCCTGTGGTTTGTTCTACAGCATGTGGACTTGGCATAGCCTCCCCAAGTCTGCAAAAATGCAGGCAGAAGATGCCCTCTAAGTAAAGTGTACTTGCCTTTTCCTGCATACAGCCCTATGGACACAACAGTGAATAATGCCAAGAAAAGGAGGCAGCATAATATAACACCAACGCAGAAGGAGATTTTAGCACACAGATCCTTGCAGCAATCTTGGACCGTCCCTGAATATTCTCTCAATTCATTCTCCCAAACATTAGAGCATCTGTTTGTGAGCCAGCAGAGCTTTTCATTCAGAATCATGACACTCTGCAGGCAGTTACAGAGAAGAAAATCTTTTATCTCAGCTTTCAAAAAGCTCCATTAGGCAGATTCTTTTTCTTCTTTTCAGAACAGACCCCTGCTTATTTTAGAGGAGGTATGTTCTTGACAAGTGCTCTTCCCAAATGTGCTGCATTGTAATTCAACCCCCAGTAACTTGACCAGTTCTCTGACTTTATCAGATCGGATAGAGGAGTCCTGCTGCCTGAGGCTCTTGGCTGCAAAGGTGAATGTTGAGAGCAGTGCCTGCTGCACTCCTCTCTGCGGGTTCTCACCTCCCAGTGGCTCATTTCCAATTTTCGTGTTAGAGCTGCATGCAGAGACCTACCTGTTAGCACAAGAAACAGATGTTGCCTCACATCTCCGAGGCTTCAGAATTTATGAATACTGGTATTTGTGGCATTCATCTCACATTTCCTGGGATGGTCTTGATTCCAAATTATTTTTCTGAGTCTTTGATATTGAAAATGTCCTTTTATAGATCAGTGGTTCTCAAGCTTCAGGGCACATTAGAATCATATGAGGGTGCTTACTAAACAATAAAGATTCACATGCTCTTCTCTCAGAGATTCTGATTCAAAAGGCCTGAGGTAAGGGCAAACCTTTTAATTGAGTTGCCACACACTCACAGTAAAGTGCTCCCACCTGAAGTGCACAGCTCAGTCAATTTTTATGTATGTATACAACTGTGTAACCACCACCCAGATGAAGCTGGGGAGCATTTCCAACAGCCCAGCCCAGAATATTTCCCTGGCACCTTCCCAGGCCACCCATTCCCCCACCCTGCCCCAAGATCACCACCATTCCTGCCATTTCAAGATGTCTGCTTTTTTTTTTTTTTTTTTTTTGGAGACAGAGTCTCACCGTGTCGCCCAGGCTGGAGTGCAATGGCACGATCTTGGCTCACTGCAATCTCTGCCTCCTGGGTTCAAACGATTCTCCTATGTCACCCTCCCAAGCAGCTGGGATTACAGGCGCGCCACCACGCCCAGCTAATTTTTTGTATCTTTAGTAGAGACGGGGTTTCGCCATGTTGACCAGGCTGGTCTCGAACTCCTGACCTTGTGATCTGCCCGCCTCGGCCTCCCAAAGTGCTGGGATTACAGAGTGTGAGCCACTGCTCCCGGCCAGATGTCTGCATTTTTAACCAGCTGCTCAAGTGATCCACATGTAGATGTTGTTCTTCATCTTTTGAAAATCAATGGATGTAATACAATGGCCAGGAGAAAACCCACCTGCATGTTTTGAGGCTGCAACTAGTAGCCTCCAATAGATATTCTTACCCTTGTCAAAGTAACCTGCTTGAGAGATTTGGGAAACTCCCAAACCTACAGGGGCTGCCAGCTACAGAACAATATGCCTGGAATGTGTCTGATGAAAACAGCAATCCCATTCAGTTGGATTGCATCTTTCTCAGGTAATGCCAGGGTGTTCAGTACTTCCTTATGGAAACAATCTTGAGAGTAGGAAGTTTTAGTGTCTGTAAAGCACTACTACCCAGGCATGGTTGTTTTGACTTCATAAAAGCTATCCTAGTTTTTAATCTAGAAACATAGTTAATATTCTTTGAGTATCCTAATTAATTCTCATAACAACCCTATTAAGGTAGATTTTTATTCCAGAAAACCAGTGTCAATTCTTTGGATAGGAGTATAATAATACTGAACATTTATTGAATGCTTCCTATCGCCACTGTACTAAATGCTTTGAAAGAATTCTTTCTTTTCCTTCATCCTTACACGAGTGAGCTTTCCCAAGGTCACCAGAGGTAGTAAATGAGATTTGAAGTCAACCCTAGTCTCACTTAGATCCTAATCTCTTAGCTCTGTGCTGGAATATTTCCCTAGATAAATACAATTCATTTATTTCTTGGCTTGGTGGAATCCTCTTGTCTTGAGATCATGCAACTTCCTTGGCTTTCATTTAAGCTTTTTAATGTGTAATTTGGAGGTCTGAATATTCATGCCCATCAGAAGACATAAACTCCTACTGGGAGATAACTTCTAACATAGGTTCATAAAATAGCATTCTGGTTTATATATCAAATGTTGTGAGTTTGGTCAGTCTCTAACTGGGTCCTGAAAGGCCTGAATAGCTCTATGTGCCATGACAAAAATTACTTTCAGAACTTGAAAACCTGAGGACAATAACTGGCTCAAGATAATCTCACCATGGTATTAGCAACAAACCCAGCTCCATCTCCTAAGCAGCTCCCCCATGCTTCATGCCCTCCAGCCCCACAAGAGTTCCTGTCCTAAAGGAGCTACACCCTCCATTTTCCTTACTTTACCTAAAAATCCCAAAGAAGGAATGTAGGTTCAAGAGAAACATTTACTATTTCTTTACCTTTGCCATTGAAGATGTACATACAATGATGTGAATATTAGTGTTTGAAGTTCTGGTCCCAGTGTTTTATTGGTTGTACCATAAATTTTAGTGGAAAAGGCAGGGTGCGGTGGCTCATGCCTGTAATCCCAGCACTTTGGGAGGCCAAGGTGGGCGAATCATGAGGTCAGGAGATTGAGACCACCCTGGCCAATATGGTGAAACTCCGTCTCTACTACAAATACAAAAATTAGCTGGGTGTGGTGGTGTGTGCCTGTAGTCCCAGCTACTCGGGAAGCTGAGGCAGGAGAATAGCTTGAACCTGGGAGGCAGAGGTTGTAGTGAGCTGAGATGATACCACTGCACTCCAGCCTGGGCGACAGAGTAAGACTCCATCTAAAAAAAAAAAAAAAAAAAAAAAAAAAAAATTAGTGGAAAAAAAATTGCCTCAAGGTTGTTTTCCTAGGCAGGCCTAATTTCTTTCAGAAATGAGAGTGATAGGTGCCATAGTCTACATTCATGAAAAATTTCATTTCCTTTTGCTTATTTACAGTAAGCAAAATCCAAGTATATTCTCATGAATGGCCTGACCAATACCAGTCTTCCTTAGCTTTGCAGACACAATTGTGCACAGAGCACACCTGGTACTTTTTAGATATGTGTATTATCCCTCACAGAGAAGGAACAAAATGTACTTTTCATTTTAATACTTTCCCTTAGTTTTAATTTTTGGCTCCATCCATGGATATGTCATTCATCAGTATAGAAGGCAGTTTGATCTCAATGGCAGCAATAATCCCACAGCATGCAGATACTAATGCTTAAGAGTCTGTTCAGGTTAAGGCAAATGCACTCTATGGTTTGTGAAACAACTTAACAGGGACTTAAGAGCTCTCATACCCATTTTGGATTTATTCAAGCATCTCTCTAGTATTTCACTAGGATACATGCTCCATGAGTACAGAGATTTTTATCTTTGATGACTTTGTGTCCCTAGTATCCAAAACAAAAGTGCTCAATAAATAGTGAATGAATTCATTTATCCATCCATCCATCCAGTCATCCATCTACCTATCTATCCATTGTTTACCATTCCACCTCAGCTAAGGTACCTGCATCCTTAAGTGCATAGAAAGAAAAATAATCTGCCTCCTCCAAGATGACTGGAAAGCAGCTCCCTGCTTCTTTAGTTCAAATAAGTACTAAAATATATCAGACTGCTGGCCAGGCGCGGTGGCTCACGCCTGTAATCCCAGCACTTTGGGAGGCCGTGGTGGGCAGATCACGAGGTCAGGAAAGCGAGACCATCCTGGCTAACACGGTGAAACCCCGTCTCTACTAAAAATACAAGAAAAGTAGCCAGCTGTGGTGGTGGGTGCCTGTAGTCCCAGCTACTCGGGAGGCTGAGGCAGGAGAATGGCATGAACTCGGGAGGCGGAGCTTGCAGTGAGCCGAGATCGCACCATTGCACTCCAGCCTGGGCAACAGAGCGAGACTCCACCTCAAAAAAAAAAAAAAAAAAAAAGTATATCAGACTGCTGCATTAAAAAAAATATATATATTACCATCCTGCTGCCCAGAGAAATTGTTATTCTTCTGATGTAGATCATTTAAGCGATTGCTTATTATTGCTTATTTGCCTAAAAACACTTTTTGATAAACTTTTGCTCAGCAGCTCCAGTTTATTCTTTTAATTCCAGCTTTTATTTATGGAAATGCCAATCCATTTTTATTCAATAATTGAGGGGAATGTAAAATATTTTTTAAAGTACAAAAATGCTTATTTTTTTAATGTATGTTTGTGTGTGAAATATGTAAAAAATATATTAAGCCTCTGACTTAAATCTGATTTACTAATAGAAATAGTTAAGGAGGAACAGGAGCATTCATCCTTACAAGGCCACATTTCCATTGAATGAGTATTTAAGATCAGTTGGATTAAAGGAGGGAATGGAAAGATAATGATAGGGAGAACTCTCATTCAGTTCAGTCTCATCAAGGCTCCCCTGCCTGCTGAGTAGCAACGGTGGGGATGGGATTCCCTCTCTGTAATTGCACCACTATCATGCCATAAATGATTAGAGAGACGCAGCCTAGCTGTGTCTGAGTCTCTATGGGACAGTTGTGCTCATTAAGCATCTCAATATTTGCCACACAACTTCAATTCCATCACTTCCTCTCTGGAATATTTGTTTAAGTAATCTCCTTGCCTGGGAGCTCTAGGATACCACTCTAATACATGCCACCTTGTGTTGTTGAATCCTACACAGGCCTGTAAAATGAGTATATTCTCAGATATAATAATGATTCTGCTTAGAGTGATCTGGAAGTGCCCAAGGCTAGACAAGGGTGATGGCAGTTCAGTAACTCCGTGCCCTGACTGGTTGTCACTGAAGCCACAGTTGCCACAGAAACTGGGACATGCTTAAATCCCACATCTCATTTCCAAATCCCATGAGCTTCTCCTTCATGACTAGTGGAATTAATTATCCCAATCGTTCAGACACATAATCTTACAGAACCTTGCAGCCACAGATAGTCAAACTTCTTGCAAAGCCAAATCTTCATGGATCATTTAGGTTAATTAATATCGAGTGGTAAATGCTGCTAAAAATTCAGGGCCTCATATGTGGCAGGATTTCATTTTATCATTACTCTGTGGTTAGGCTGTTAGATTAGCATGCACTGGGATAGGTTATTCATGATGGCAGAGTAAATGCAATGAACTGGAAGATAGAAACATTGTTACCGTAAAATTCATGTTAGCATGCTGGCAAACATAGACAGCCTCAGTTTCACTTCACTGACTCTGGGGATTCTGTTCTCAGTGTGTGCAGATAAAGCATCTCCTCTGGGACTGGGTCCTAACCTTAGGACTCAGGTTCCATCTTCCATGGAAGGGCCACTGTGCCAGGCCCAGAGTCATACTTGGAGAGCTCAGATGCCACAGTACGACTAACTGGGGGCTCTAACCTGCTTTCCTACTTAAACTATCTGTGTGACCTTGGACAAGTGCCTTAACCTCTCTTAGCCTCTGTAAGATGAAGAGAACAATTGTACTCATATTTGACCCTTGAACTAGGGGGTTAAAGGCGCAGACCCTTGTGCAGTTGGAAATCCACGTATCACTTTGACTCCCCAAAAGCTTAACTATCAATAGCCTATTGTTGACCGGAAGCTTTGCTAATAACATGAGCAGTTTGTCCCAGAGAACCATAGATTAACACGTTATTTGTACGTTATATGTATTATATACTGTATTCTTACAATAAAGTAAGCTAGAGAAAAAAGTTATTAAGAAAATCATAAGAAAGAAAAAAAATTTAGTATTTATTAAGTGGAAGTGGATCATCATAAAGGTCTTTATCGTCATTGTTTTCAGGTTGAGTGGGCTAAAGAGGAGGAGAAGGAGGGGTTGGTCTTGCTGTCTCAAGGGTGGTAGAGGCAGAAAAAGATCTATTTATAAGTGGACCTGCAAGTTCAAACCCGCGTTGTTTAAAGCTCAACTGTTTTCATAGGATTAAGTGAGATGACGTGTTTTTCATGCTGGGTACATTACATGGAATTCAGGAAGTGCCCCCAAAATATTAGTCCTGATATTATTTTTCTTGTTCATTGAAGAACAGACTTGAAAGGGCAGTGAAAAGGCTGGAGAAAAATGAAATATGTAGGAAATTTTGAGAAAGATATTTGACAAATTATCCTTATATTCATTCTTAGCCAATACTTATTGAGCAATTACTCTGTGCTATGCACTGCTCTTTGTGTCTGGAATATAGTAGTGGACAAAACAGATATTTCTGCCCTTGTACAGCTTATGTTCTACCTGGGGTAGGGGGTGGGTACAGAGTACTTAATAAGCAATAAATAAATTATGTAGTACATTACAGTGTGAATGTTATGAAAAAAGAAAAAAAATGTGAAATCAAGTAAGAGGAATTAGGAGCACCAAGGAAGGAGGGGGCAGGGCTAGATTAAATCTACCATTCTTCTCATAACCAAAGTGGGAGTAACCCTGCCATTCAGACCGTGATTCCTTCAAATGATTGGATTTGCTTCTATTAATACTAAGAGCACCAGACAAAAACCCAACATTGACTGAAAGCTTATTCTGTGCCAGGGACTATTCTAAGGACGTCATGTTTAAAACCTTTTAAAATATGTATAAAAGGTAGATGTTATTACTTTCCCCATACAGAAGAGGGATCTAAACAACAGAGGAGTTAAGTAAATTGCCAAAGGTCACACAGTTCATCAGTATCAGAGCTATGATTCAGCACCAGCATTCTTTACCACTAACCTATACCATTCACACAAAGCATGAGTTGAAGTTAGAATGTAGAGATCTCAACATAAATTCAGGCTGCTTGGGCAACTCTGCCTTTCAAAATAACAAAGGAAGCCTCATATCTAATCACATCTAGATACCTATTTTCTGAGTGTAAATACTTTTAAGATAAGTTATCATGTATTCATATGATAATTGACTTACTTTAGTCATCCCTTGATAGAGGAAATGAAAATGATTACAAGTGATGAAATGATTATAAAATCAGTAAATTTAAAAAATTCATTTGTACTACTATTCCTCTCAACAGCCTCTATTTAGTTACTTGGAAAACAGACTTGTACTCTGCTTGGTGTACATATGGATTTGGGAACTCTTTGCAGTAAATCAAGAGTGCCGCAGGGGTTTGTGACCCACAGGTGGGATCTTTAAAATAAACTCCTACTTGGATTTTTGTGGTTGTCTCTAAACTGGAGATGGATGACAGAGTTCAATAGGAAGGGAAAGGCAGATTTTATTTACTTTTATACACATTTTCTCAGATGGTTACTGTAAGTTTTTCTTAAACAGGAGATCTCAGTTGAGAATTCTTTGATTCAAAGTTTAATCAGCCCAGAGGACTTCTTACTAACAAATTTATAAGAAAAAGTATAGAGTATGGAGTTAAGGGCTAAGACTCTTAAGCAAGATTTATTAGTTATTGTCCCCTAATCACTTAATAGCTGGATAACCTCTATGAGCCTTAGATTATTTTTCTATGAAATGGGAGTTATCATCACCATCCCCTCCACCAACACCATTATTATTATCTCCTGGGATTGTGGTGAAAAGTAAACGAAATATTACAATTAAAATGCTCAGCTTGATACTGGCACCTCCTCAACATTCAGTGAACGTAGCAATCATCATTAATACACAAAAGAGTTGTTGATGTTTTTAGCAGTTATGTGATAGATGGAGTTGAAGAATAAGCGGAAAAGATAGAAATGAGTAGCTGACTTTGATTATGACTTTTGGCATTAGACATAGCAAAACCTCAGGCAAGTAGTGATCAAGTCTACTTTCACCCTCAAGTGTTCTGAATAGAAAGAGAGATAAGAGTGATTGTGGTAGAAAGAAAGCTAAAAAGCTTCTCTTTTCTTTTTTTAAAAATTTTAAATCTATTTTATTAGTATGCTTTATTATGCTTTAATTATTGTTTAATTAATTATTTTTAAATTACTTTATTATGCTTTAATTATTTTTATTATGCTTTAATTATTATTTATTATGCTTTAAGTTCTGGGGTGAAAGAAAGCTTTTAAGAACTGAAAACCAATGTCAGTTCTCTGATTAAAAGGAAAAGGTGGTAAAGGATATGCTAATTGGTGATGTGTATATGCAAAGAAGCCAAGGAAAACAGGAAAAAGAAGCAAAAGAAAGAAGAAAAGGGGAAAAAGAACCAGTGGAAAATAGAAGCTTTGAGGATGGTAGGGTAGAGGCCGCTGGATGGCGAGCAGAAGGCCACTGATGGTGGAAGAGTGGAACAAGCAATGAAAAAGGCAAAGATGACCGGCAGTGCTTCTGCCTGGCAGCTCCTTCACCAGTCCTTATAGCAACAGGCATGAGGCGTTTTCTACTCTAAAGGCTGGCCAGTATCTGGTGGGAGAGGTAGAACACAACTCTGTAATAATAACATGATTTTGTAATCCATGTTTATTATGAGCCAGGTGTTTTTCATAGTTCACAAAGTGGATTCTATTTTATAGATGCCAAAACTAAAGCTTAAAGGGGTGAGGGTTACTCAACAAATAAGTAGAAAAGATGGACTCCAGAATCTTCTGCATATTTCTTCCTGTTATAGTTCTTGAAGCTTCAGGTGGTCAACTTGCTAAATCAGGAAACTATCACTGGAGTAACTCATATCATAATTATGCCAGATAACTGTGGCATATTACAGATTTTTTTTAAAAAAGAAAAAAGTACTGCTTTTTTTTTTTGTTTGCCATTGTAAATCAACTTAAAAAAAGTCAAAAAGGCATCAAGTGCTACAAATATGGCATTTGATAATTTTCAGTTAATTATAGATGGCATTTACTTAACATTTAGGCAATTTGAAAAGGAGTTATTGAGTATTAGCAGAATCAGCAGCAAAGGTTTTTCTAAGCTCCTGGAACCATGAGTCAAGGTAAATAAAAGTTCCCTGGTTAGAAAAGGGCACCAAAAAAGCCTTTGAAAAGTAGTTCAACTTGACTTTGACTTATGATGTCTTTGGGAACTTGCCCAGTTTCAAGGTGAGGCTATTGAGACAGGAAATACAAATGACAGTACAAAGAAATTACAGGGTTCCAGTTAAATCCTCATAGAGAAAGGCTGAAACTGTAAGGGAAGTTAACCACAAACTCTAAAGATAAATTAAGCAAAAGTTAGAATTGAATTGTGACTTGAAATTCTCTGGCCTTTCCTATTAGTCCTTTATACAAAGGAATAGCCCACACAATAAATGTATCCGCTTTGATCATTATCTAGCAAGCTGTCTTGATGTATTTAAAGAAAAATCTCTGAGATATTAATAACCCATTAATTAATTTTGGCCAAAGTCTATTGGTGTTAAAAATAAAACCAATTGCATATTACCTGGCTAATTTATGACATTTATCTACTTATAACAGTAACTATTTTGAGAAGCTGGTATATTATTACAACACACAAATAACTGTAGTATTGAGGGGGTGGAATATGTAGGCAAATATGTAAGTTCTACAATCCAACTTTTATCTTCCCTTTGTTCCCAGTTTTATTTTTCTGGCATTAATCTTGGCATTGAGTTCTATTTTTGTTGACTAGACAAAAGAAACGGGGGGGTTTGGTGGACAATCAGAGTGAGAAAGTAGGGCATTTGGAAAAATAGGTAGGAAGTGCTTGGCCTCCAGTCCATCCTGCTTAGTTTTTCCTTCTGAACAGAGCATGCATCAGCACCCAGACTCCCTAACTGATTTCAAAGCGAGCTTCTAAACATTTAGTTTTGCAAATAATACCTTTCTTATTCCCCAGTGAAATAAGACTGGGTCAGAGATGTTACAGCAGGTTCCTTTTCCCTCTCCACATAGTTAGAAGAGCCAGGCTTTCTAGTAAGCAGGTAATTCAGCTCTAGTGGTTGGCTTGATTCAATTAGTGATGGGGCGAACTTCAGTTTCCACATTCCAGGAGGAGGGGTTGCCCTTTTCACATTAAAACAACAGACTATGGTCCTGACTGGTTCCATCACTTGCTTCTCTGTAATTAATCTGTGGGCCCAGACAGTGAGCCTTGAGTAAGGAGTCAAATGCACACGATACACAAATAAATTTGTCAAACTGACCTCTAGGCAGCAGAGAGTATCTGAGTGAGGAAATATTTAGCAGGTATACATTTGCCAATCCCTAAATCAGGGTGTGTTTCTTTAGTAAGTAGGGGACTAATTCACTGAACTCAGTGCTTAATGTCTACAGACACGTCTCATGTACTTTGGGACATTCACACCATTGCTAGACTGAACTATTGGCCCATCAGAGATTCTTAGTGCCTTCTTTCTTAGTGCCTTCTTCCCTTTGTGTAGGCAAGAGCTATTCTTGTGGATATACAGGAAATCAATGACTCTTTTCAGCATTAGTAGTTATCATTGCTTGGGCAGCAACTCAAGGTAGAAAAATATAGCTAGAACAACCATGCCACAGTGGAAGATGGGCCAAAGACAGGAAGTTAGGATGTGCGGTCCAATCAGTATTGGGAATGCTTAACTAGACAACCAAGCTCCTTGGAGATCAACTGTTGGCTATAAATGTACATGTGCAAATATAATATATGTGTTAAGCAGGAAAGGCAGGAAGTAAGGGCTGTATGTTTTAGGCTATAGAACCTAAGAGCTTCAACAGTAATTTCCAGTGCAGGTAACTAATAGTTGTTATTTTTTTTTTTTAGTTTAAAGACACTGGCCTCATATAACCTGAGTGTGAAAAAGAACCCAGAACTCTTCTTGTACCCATTGTCAGAAAATCTTAGAAGGCCAGTCGTCTCTTTCAGAGATTTTCAGCCCTCTTCTAGGGCAAAAGACTGAGTCAGTATAATTACAATCACCTGGAAATAAACTGCAAACAGAGCTGCTTTTGTTCCCCAACTGAAATCTTGCAAAAGAGATGCATTACTTTGCTAGCTCCACTTCCTAACAGGAAAACAGTTTTGTATATTTGCTGCATTGTTTTGTTGTAATTTTCTGAAAAATATCAATTCTGATTTTTATTAACATATGAAAATAAAAGCTAATGCCCTGCTGTACCCTCCATTCTATGAAGACATTGTTCTCTTGACCTCTTTTCATTAATGGGAAAACTAAAAAGAAAACAGACATTTCCAATTTAATAGACATTCTACTAGATCTAAAGACTTGGCTCCTTTTTCTTTTTTCAAAAGTCCTTCTCTGAAGTAACCTGTCACTTAAAAAAATTCAAAATCTTATGCAATTTGTTCTGAACTCAATATTTTTGAAGTAAATACTAATCATTTTTTTTTTTTTTAGTGCTGCTGTATATTATGGTTGGGTGGCCTACATCTTCTGTTGTGTATCTCAAGCTGGATCAAGTTCACTTTGCAGGGAACTCTGTGCACCTACAGGAATAGAATGGGCACAAAGAGGATTAGAATCCCTGCAGGGGCAGCACAGAGAATTATGTTTTCTTCATGAGCTCTGATGTTTTATTAACCATTCTAGCAACTTTGCATCTGATAGAATCCACAGATGAAGTTCATGTTGTTTGTTACTCTGCCAATATAAAAGGCTCTCTTTTGAATGGAATATGAAGCTAGTGGCTCTCACCCACCAGCCATAGGGCATAAGCTTGGACCTTGTTTTTCTGGCAGCAATAACAAGTGTGCTGACTTGTGCTGTCTTAGTGGGTCCTGCCTGTGACCAACAGGGTGAGTTTCTGAGTTGGCTGTGTAGGGGGAACTCTGCATTTTGGCGCTAGAACAGAGAAAAGTCGGGCAGTCTGGAGTCCTGACCCTGACCTCATTAGCACTGTGCTCCTGTCCATTGAAATAACTGTGCAGTGATTTCAACTTTAATTTGGTCCTAATTCTGGGATGATTCCAACTCAGCTACTCAAGGCTGTAGAAAAACAAAATAATGAATGTTCTGAAATCTGCTATTTTCTTTAACACATCAAGCTCATCCTTGTCCAGCATAAAGACACAGACCCAGAATTTCCTCCTGACTTTCCTCTATCTTCCCTCTTTGCCCCTGCCTTTAAAAAGATGCATAATAATTTTGCTATAGATGAAAAAACATGGTACTCCAAAGTCAAAAAGGCTCAGGTTTGAATTTCAGCTTTGCCATATATTGGCCATATAATTTCAGGTAAAAATTTCAATCACTTAGAGCCGCTGTTTACACATTTGTAAAAATGGAACAAAAGCTGTGGCATGGAGAAGAGATAGAAGCAGAAGAAATGAGTTTAAATCTTAGTTCCTTAACCTCTTGGAGCCTAAAAACGTTAGTTAGTACCCACTCCATATGGTGATAATGATGATTAAGCACCATCTCTGCATTGTGAATTTATAAGGGTTAATGGAGTAAATGTGTATAAGTTTCTAGTATTATGTATAGTGTTCAGCAAGGACTACACAGATATCAATTTCCTTGTTTATTCTGGGCAGTTTTATAGAGGTCAAAAATCCCTTTGTTTTTCAGGAGTCAAGGACTTCTCATATTGTCAATAAGCTTTTTGAGCTGGAAGGCCAGAGTAGGTCATGACACATTTACTTGCATTGCTCAGTGGAAGAGGATTCTACAGGGTGCTTATAAAATCTCCAAGCTTAGGAAAATGCACATAAGTAGTTTCTGGATATTCTCTTTTAATACAGTGTTCACTGTGTTAGCCTCATCCACAATATGTAGTTCCATGTGCTGTGCAAAACTACAATAAAAATGTGGCCGGGCGCAGTGGCTCACACCTGTAATCCCAGCACTTTGGGAGGCTGAGGCGGGCAGACCACCTGAGGTCAGGAGTTTGAGACATGCCTGGCCAACATGGTGAAACCTTATCTCTACTAAAAATACGAAAATTAGCTGGGCATGGTGGTGGGCACCTGTAATTCCAGCTACTCGGGAGGCTGAGGCAGGAGAATCGCTTGGATGCAGGAGAATTGCTTGAACCCGGGAGGCAGAGGTTGCAGTGAGCCGAGATTGTACCATTCCACTCCAGCCTGGGTGACAAGAGTGAAACTCCATCTCAAAAAAAAAAAAAAAAGGTGCACCCTAGATATCCAACCCTGCCACTGCGGTGCAATGAGGTAGTGCACCAGCCTTAAATCATCACTCTGGACCGCCTCTCCTAGTCCATCAACTAACGACATGATTTAGTCACTTGAAAATGGCAAACATGTGCCTATGTTTCCAAATTTTAAGGCCACCCTGTGGTTAAGTTCTAACATTTGAATAAGATAAAGGGCCTCCAGGGAGAAGTTTATTCTGCTTTCCAAATTGCAAAAGTCACATGATTATAAGAACAGTCTGCTTTCCTAGAGGTTTGTGGGAGCAGAGTCTATTCATGACCTTGTTTTCAGATACAGCCACTAAAAGGACTCCCTGCTAAAAAATATTTTTCCCAATATATCCAATTTATACATAATTAGTCATTTTCTTTTTGTTTTTCCTTAAGCTGATGAATTACTTAGAGTTCTTATAAATTCACTTCAATATTTAGAGGTTACATAGAAGAAGAAGAATGAAGAGACAATAAGAAAGGGTAGGGAAGTAGAAGAACCAAGAGAGTGTGATATTCCAGAACCAAATGAAGAACAAGTTTCAGGAAGGAGACCATGATCAGCTATGCCAGATACTATTGATAGGTCAAGTAAATGAAGGTTGAGAACTGAGTGTGCATTTGGTAACATGACTATCAGAGCCCATGATGAGGCAGTTATTAGTGTGGGGACCAAGAGAAACACTGGAGTGAATTGAAGAGAGAAAACAATATTGATCATAGACAACTGTTTTAGCCGGGCGTGGTGGCTCACCCCTGTAATCCCAGCATTTTGGGAAAGTGAGGTGGGTGGATCATCTACAGTCAAGAGTTCAAGACCAGCCTAGCCAACATGGTGAAACCCCATCTCTACTAAAAACACAAAAATTTGCCGGGCATGGTGGTGGGCACCTGTAATCCCAGCTACTCAGGAGGCTGAGGCAGGAGAATCATTTGAACCCAGGAGACGGAGGTTGCAGTGAGCCGAGATCGTGCCATTGCACTCCAGCCTGGGCAACAGAGTGAGACTCTGACTCAAAAAAACAAAACTGTTTTGAGTTTTGCTGTTCTTTTATTTATGTTGTCACACTCAGTGTAAGGTAGTTTATGAAAATCATTATATCTATAGACATTCTGTTTGTGAAAATAGAACTCACTTTATCTCTGACCTCTATTTTCCGTGATTTTTACATAACAAAGTACATAGTTCCTCAGGCCAACATATGGAAACCTAGAACAAATGGCTTCCAAGGCCCCTCCCAGTTGAATAATTCTGGTGAATTCCCTTTCCATGAACTTCCTGCCAGATGTTCCTCATGACTGATCTTATTTCCTTTATGCTTATGAAAGTGAGGCATAGCTTTTTTACAAAATTACTTAAGTGTATGTTATCAGAATGCAGCAGAGCAAAGCAAAGACCACGTAACTTGACACAGCCATGGCTAGAAGAGAAACCTTATCTGCGACAGATATTTTTAGTTGCCACTATTTTCTATCACACTAAGCCCCATTATTTTAGGCTATATGGAAATGGGTAAACTGAGGGGCTGTACCTCATAACAGCCTCATTTTTCACGTGAGAAACCTACTTTAGAGAAAGCTCTTAAGATGTGTCT
Organism: Homo sapiens; assembly: GCF_000001405.40. Lineage (NCBI taxonomy): Eukaryota > Metazoa > Chordata > Mammalia > Primates > Hominidae > Homo > Homo sapiens. The sequence continues at coordinate 75,706,790 of NC_000012.12, read as the reverse complement.
TTATATACTTAGCCAGCAGATGACCACTTTTATTTTTTCCCTGCTAAGAAAATTCTTTTTTCAATTCCCTGGAAAATACTGTTGAGGCTGTCATGCTGTTGGGGGAAGAAAACATATTTCCTCATTTATATTGTGCCTGCTTATCTATATTTCTGCAAACATTTCAATCTTCCTCCCCACTGCATTTTTTACATCAGCCTTTCTAAATACAGTTCATGGTGTTCTGTTTTATGTCACTGTAACCCTGACTGCTATGTGGAAGCAGGTCCTGCAGTGCAGGAAGCCTGCTTATAATTGACAGATAAATCTGTTTTCTAGAAACTCTGCATTCCGCAGCAGCCCCAGCATATATGATTCTTAAATAATCGCTTTGCTTATTCCCCAAACAGAAGGCAGTCAAATCAACCAGTTTATTCTTCCAGAATTGCAAGAGGACTGCCATTCATTTTCCAACTTTTCCTTTTTTTTTTTAAGCTGCGGTTGTAAAAACTTGGTGTGCTTTGGGATGTGTCATCTCTTATTTCTTAAGGGTCAACTGTGTTAAGAGAGAGAAGGTCAACCTAAACAGTTCTTGGATTTCATTTCGGGAAATTCCAGGCCCCAGCTCAGCTCGTTCTGTGCATGTCCACCTACCGAGGCTCGGCCCTCTGTTGTTGCAGCTGTTGCTGAGTACAGAGCTCATTTATCCCCAATCAGCTGGAGCTTCCTGTAAGTGTTGGATGCTTTTCCCTATTGCTACTCAATTGGGATTTTTTTTACAAGATTTATCAAAACAGTTCCAGCTACATGGTGCTTTGGAATACATACCTCCAAAGTCCAATGACTTTTCAAAACACAGATACTATGCTAGTGGCAAACTATTAGAGATGTCAACTGCCTCACTTGGTTCAACCTCTACCATGTTGTAGGTGCCTCCATGCAGAATGGGGAAATGGAATGAGGAGTTTGAAGGAACACATGGAAAGTCTCTAAATTGTACCTCTCACCCCAACCACGCCATATTGGAATATACAAGACTGAAGAATTCAGAGTCACAGCCTTGACTCCAACTCCCTTGTTCTAAGATAAGAAGAATCTTAGTGATTTACCCAAGGTCATATGGCTGATTATGGCATTAGCCTCTTGTAATCCTTTTGATACATACGATCTTGAAAAAAAATCCAAAATCATAGACAAGGGGTTCATTTTTATAAAAAAATATTTATTCTTGTTATTATTTATCCTAGGGGTCTTGGAACATTGTGTTTGATGGCAATAGTTTTAATATGGCCGATTCTTTCTAACCTTGTCAGAAGTCTGTATTTTGATAAGATAGAAATATAGATTTATACCATATCTGTATAAACAGTCATCCGCATACATGTGTGTTCTGCTTCTATCAATAGCTCTTTTGTCTCAGGGATAGGAAATAAATGTGTCTGAATTTATATTAAAAAAACACCATCAAAGTAGTAAAATACACTAATCCACTGTGTATTACATAAGGCATTTAAATTCCGATAATTCATGTCTGATGCAAGCAGTAAGAATATGAAATAGTACACATTTATCTCTTTTCTTCATGAAAACTGGGGCAAAAATAATAATATTCTAAAATAAAGGAGAATACCATTTAAAAATTCAAGCCTCACCTCTCACTCTACTCCCGTTGCCTGAAAACATGCAGAGCTCCCTTTGATAGTTTGATTTTGAATCTATTGACTTAAAAATATCTCCACTAGTTTTTCAGGCCAGTCATTCTTCATTCTAACAAAAGTAGACTTCATTTTTGTTTTCATTATCTTTTAGAGACATTGGATTGCTGAACAGTTTTGGGCCAAAATCCGTCGGCTGCATTTCTTTTAGCTTGCTGGCTAAGACTGTCCATAAGGAAGGATACTCACGCTTTGCTGACATTTCCTCCCTAGGTCTCTACATTGCGTCAATTGACTCGCCAGTGGTTAATAATGTGCACTCTGGAGTCAGATTACGTGGGTTGGAATCAGGCTCTACATCTTGCTAGCCTGGCAAATTTGAACTAATTATTCAAACTATCTGAGTCTCATTTCCCACCCCTATCCACCATAGGATTTTTGGGAAGGTCATATGAGATAATTCATGGCACAAATTAAAAACTCTATAAATAGTAAAATTTATTTACTATTATTACATATGAAATTACATATGAAATTAAGTATTTTTAACCTTGAGAGAGACGGAGAGAGTCAGATTACATAGATTTTCCAAAAAGTGCACCTGAATGGAACTTTGAACCTCCAGGCCAGCCTGCACAGGTGTTCAGAGCTATTCTGTGGACCTGTCAGTCATAGAGTTGTTGTTTTCTCTTGTTCTCTTGTCTTTCAAAGGACTAAGAGGAAGGCCTATTGTTATTCACGGAAGGATATTTATTGGCCAGAGTATATCTGACCATAGCCTCTTATGGAACAAAAAAAATCATTGTTTATTCATATTCTAACTTCCCCTCCAGGAAGTACAACAATGCAATAGACAACAACCTTTTTGTAAGGTGAGTTCAAGCTAGATAAACAGATAAACAGACAGAACTGTGCCGGCTTTTTTTCTTCCTTTCCACCATTCTTATGAATGTGTAATAAGATTGTTGGATCTGGAGTCCTGTTTCCCAGTGTAAATGCTCTCTGTATATTTGTAAAATTCACTCATGTCCCTTCTCAGTAAACCACTCACGATTACCCAGAAAAGTCTTCTGAGTGTTTTTCATTTTATATTAGTTTTCTAGAACTTCATATAAATTAAATAATGCAAGCAAACTATCGCAAGGACAAAAAACCAAACACTGCATGTTCTCACTCATAGGTGGGAATTGAACAGTGAGAACACTTGGACACAGGAAGGGGAACATCACACACCGGGGCCTGTTGTGGGGTCGGGGGAGTGGGGAGGGATAGCATTAGGAGATATACCTACTGCTAAATGATGAGTTAATGGGTGCAGCACACCAAAGTGGCACATGTATGCATATGTAACAAACCTGCACGTTGTGAACATGTACCCTAGAACTTAAAGTATAATAAAACAAACAAATAAATAAATAACTAAATTAATTAAATCATGCAGTAGATTTTTTTTACGTCTAGCCTTCTTCAGACTGTTGGGGGAATTTTGTGTCATGACTTATGCAGAGATACCAAATTTGTAAATTACTAGTATATCTTTCCTTCTTCCTCAAATGTCATTGCTAGATAGAACTACTACTGTTGAAAGACTGAAATATGTGCAAATGAGTACTCAGGATACATTCTCCAGTAGACAAAATGATTGATTACATTTTAGTTAGCTTTAGTTGAAGTGTATCTATAGTATGTTTTTAGGTAAAGTAGAGGTTAATAGACTTCTATGAAATAATTTAGGACTGTAATAGTAAGAGGCAGTGGCCTGTGTCTATAATATAGGGAATAGGGAGTGTCAGCTAATCCAGCATGCCTGGGAAGTGGTTAGAAAGGTCCTGTGCACAGTGGCACCCCTGCATATCAATTGAGTTGTGGAGTTGTTCTTTCTTACTGAGGGTTAGTTGATCTTGAGTTTGTTTTGAGTTTTTTCTCAAATGTGTAACATCAGGTATATTAGTATTTTAATTATACACTTTTAAAATTATATAAACTGGTGAACATAAGAGCAAAAAGAAAGTGGCTTATTGATTTTATATCAACTAAATTTAATGTTATGGACAGGCACAGTCAATTTAGTTGGCAAAACCTGTCCAATTAGTTATGAAAAAAGGCATGTTAAAGAGAAAAGCTGTATGGAAAAAGTTGTAACAGTCTAGAGTTTTGCACAATGATGGCTTTATATGTGTCTTTAAGTTTTCTTTCTACTTTAAAGGGAAAATGACTAGAAATGCATGGGGCGGTTTATGCAACAAAGATAAAATGAAACCCGAAGACTTACGATCAAAGAAAAGACCGTGGTTGGTGAATGAAAACGTTGGTGAATCTATGTTCATCTATATATGAGTTATTTTTAAACATTTTACTGCACAAAAATTTAAGCATACCTGAAGTAAAGGGGATGTAATAAATCTCCATACACCCATCACCCAGCTTCAATGATTTATCAACTTTCTGCCTTTTCTGTATTGTTTTCTATACATCTATCCCCACTCCCCTACTCAATTAATCTCACAACTTTTTTACAGTTTCTTCCTCCCTTCCTCCCCTCCCCTCCCCTCCATTCCCCTCCCCTCCCCTGCCCTCCCTCCCTTCCTCCCTCCCTTCCTTCCTTTCTCTTTTTTTTTTTTTTTTAGGTAAAGTTTATGTGCTTTGAAAGGTATGAGTCTTAGCTGTACAATTTTGACAAATGGATATACCTATGTAATGCACAACCTTATCACGACACTATAGAACATTTTCATCTTCCCATAAAATTCCCTCCTGCTTCTTCCCAGATAATCCCCCACCCCAGCTCCCCAGATGGGACCACTTTTCTGATTTTTCTTTTTCATTTTAAATTAGTTTTCTAGGACTTCATATAAATGAAGTCACATAATGGGTACCCTTGTGTCTGGCCTTTTTGCACAGCTTATTGTCTGTGAGATTCATCTAGTGTCATGCTAGAGCCAGCTCAGACTAGGTTGAGAGAGCCAACTGTGTGCATGTATTACCAAATTTGCGTGCAGTGACTTCAGTTTGGTAGCTTGAAATTGGCCATGGTGGGACTATTTACCTCATGGAAATTGGCAAATGCTACAAATCAGGGTTTCCCTACCCTAAAGAGCCAGTTGTCGGCACATCACTGTATTCATTCATGTGGTTGGGTGAATCAGTAGTGTAATCCTCTATATTACTGAGTAGCATTTCTTTGTATAGGTACACTACAAATTGTTCATTGATATATCATGTGGATTGTGTTGATGTACATTTGTGTTGTTTCCAGTTTGGGGCTATTATGAATAAAGTAATTATGAACATTCTTGTACTAGTGGACATATATTTTCATGTTGTTGCATGTAACATGTTAATTTTAATTGGTTTATGCTACTCTGTTGTATGAATAGTCTCAATTTATTTTATTTGTTCTAATATTTATAAAAATGTTGAAGTTCTCAACCTTGGGCAATTATGAATGGTGTTACTATGATCATTGTTGTATATGAATCATATGAATCTCAATGCATATTTACATACTTCTCTGCATCTATGAGTGAACTTGTTGGATCATAAGGAGATATATCTTTATCTTTAGTAGATAACACCAGAATATCTTCCAAACGTACTTATTTATACTCCCACTCAGAATGCATGAGTATTCTCATTTTACCATATCCTTCTTTACTTCACTTCTTAATTTGAGCCATTGCATGTGTGTACAGTTGTTGATCAACAAAAGGGAATAGCAGAAAGCGAATAACTGAGAAAACAGTACACAGATGGGCAGTTTTCCACAGGCCCATTACATCCTAGGGAAGCACATAGAAACAGGAAACAGGAAGGGCCAGACATCAAGCTCTGGAATGGTTACCTTGACACTTGAAACTTTTAAGCTACATGATTGGTGTTTTAGTTATCTATTCCTGCCCTAATAAATTACCCCAAAACTCAGTGACCTAAGTAAACAACCATTTTAAGCTTTCTTATGATTCTTAAGGCTGACTAGACTCAGTTGGATGGTTATTCTACCAGTCTCACTATTGTAATTTTAGATTAGACTTTTTTCCTTTGTAATTTTGTCAGTTATGCTTTATTTATTTTGAGGCAATGTCATTAGGTGCATAACAGTTTAGAATTGTTAAACATTCTTGGTCAGTTGTAGTTTTGAAACTGTTATTACTATGAAATGTGTCTTTTTATCTTTTATAATGCATTTTGCCTTAAAAGTCTATTTAATTAGTTTCCTAAATTTGTTTCCTTTGGTTGATGTTCTTTGGTTAATATTTTTTCATTCTTTTGTTTTATTTTTTCTTGCCCCCTCCCCATTCTTTTATTTATTTATTTCTATACTTTTGTTAAGATAACCTCATATATATAGAATATAGTTGCATTTTTTTAAGTCCACTGTAACAATCCATCTTTTAATTTGAACTTTAGTATTTATATTTAATATAATTCAGATCTGCTTGGATTTAAATCTACCATCTTATTATGGGCTTTTAGTTGTCCTGACTATTGTTTATTTCTTGTCCTCTCCTTTTGGATTAATACTTTTTATTTTTTCATTTTCCTCATCCATTAGTTTAGTATTTATATACTCTTACAGTGTCAACCTAGGGATTAGATATGTATCCTTGACATATCAAAGTCTAATACTAATTGTTACTTTTAACCTATCCCAGAAAATTTAATAATCTTAGAGCATTTTAACACCACTTACCACACCCCAAACTTAAATGCTACTTTTGTTATTACTTTATATGATTAATATTTGAATGCATTTACTCACAAATTCACTACTTTATTTGCTATTTCTTCTTATTCCTCTCCTCCTCCTTCCCCTCCTCCTACTCCTCCTCCTCTTCTTCTTCGTCTTCCTCATCTTCATCTTTTGCCTTTCATCTGGTTTCCTTTCCTTCCACATAAAAATGCCTTTGGATACTTCCTTTCCAGCAGTATTAACCTACTGATAATTAATTCTCTCACTCACTATTTATCCCCAAACGTTTTTATTTTACTTTATTAGAATTATAAATCGGCACTTATTTTCTACATTAGTCTGATCAGGCTGCCGTAACAAAATTCCACAGACTGAGTGACTTAAACAATAGAAAATTATTTTCTCATTGTTCTGAAACCTGAGAAGTCCAAGATCAAGTTGCTGGCCAATTCAGTTTCTGCTGAGAGCTCCCTTCCTGGCTTACAGATAGCTGCCTTCTCACTGTGACCTCACATGGCAGAGAGAGAGAGCTCCCGTATCTTTTCCTTTTCCTTTTCTTACAAGGGCACCAGCCCTATTGGATTGGGGCCCACGCTTATGATCTCATTTAACCATATTACCTTCTTACAGGCCTTACGTGCAAATACAGTCACACTAGAGGTTAAGGCTTCAACATATGAATTTCAGGGGGATACAAACATTCAGTGACAACATTTTCTTTTAGCACTTTAAATATTCATTATCGCTGGCTTTTATTTAACCTGCTTGGGTTTACAGGGTTTCTCAAATCTATGTCTAGAACATTCAGTTTTGGAATATTCTTAGCCATTATTCAAATATTACTCCTGCCACATATACTCCCTGCTTTCTTTCTGGGACTATAATTTACACATAGTTTAGAGCTTCTTATTCTGTTCTCTACATCTCTTATCCTTGCTTCTGTATTTTTTATCTTTTTCTCTCTTTGTACTACATTCTAGATTGTTTCTTTTGATTTTCGTGTCACTTCATGAATTCTCTCTTCAGTTGCATCTAAACTAGTATTAAACTCATCATTGAGTTCCTAATTTGTTAGCTGTATTTTTTATTTCTAGAAATTCTGTGTGTTCTTAAGAATGTACTATGTCTTTTTAAAATTGTTTTCAGTTCTGTCCTAATTGAAATTCTTAATTATACCTTTATAACCTTAATCATGGTCAGCATAGTTTAAGTCTGTGTTTGATAACGTCAGCATCTACAGGCCCTACAGGCCTTTTAATTATCCTGTTGTTTCTGTTGGTTCTCATTTATTGTATTTTGTCCTTTCACATGCATGGATGTTTTTTATTGTGAGGCAGACATTATACTTAAAAATTGCTTGTAGAAATTGAGGCCTAGTATAATATTTTTCTCTGGAGATTGTTTACTTTTGCTTCAACAGTTGCCTCTGTACACTAGTAATCTGATCACCTCAATTTAATTTCTGGGACTGAGAGAAACTGTACCTGTCGAGCTCTAAAGACAGTACATGGGATGAAAGAAGAAGAAAGCTTAGCTGTAGTTCCAGTGATGAACAACTTCTAGTTAACATTTACTCCTTGGATATAACTCTTCAGTGTCCTAACCCAAAGTGCATAAGATTTATCGGCACCTCTGTATTCTCAAGCAGGTCCTGGCCTCCAGCTTCTGTCTGCTTATTCCTGGGATGTTGTTAAGAGCACCACTCAGCCCCTCAGCCCCTAAGCAGCCTCTTCCAGTATTAGCCAGTGCCCCAGGAAAGAGTAAGCCTAAATCCTGACCTTGCCTCTATTGATTTCCCTCTTCTTCTGGATCATGGCCTGGTAATTACTCACTATTTTGCTGAGCCTCCAATGCCTTTAGAGCAGATTCTTATTTATATTATGTATAGGATTATATGAATTAAAGACTTTATAATTACTGTAATTGAAAGTCCAGAGTTCTTTTAGCATCCAACTGTGTATTACATGGTTGAAAAGGAAATACATGTCATTGAAAAGCTCATAAGATGTTTAGGGATACAAAACATGTGATATAGATTTAAGAGGAGGGTACATATATATGATCTCTAAAGCTAAAGAGGAAAGAAGTAGGGGTGAGCTGAATGACCTGGTTTATCTGTGTGACCATGGTCTTCTTTCATCCCATGTACAGTACTTGTCTGGGCTCATTCACTGGCCATGGCTTTAGCTCCCTGTTGCTAAATATGCAGTCTGACCACTTTATCTCCTTTGAGCTTGACCGGTACAAGCCTAGCTGCCTATTTAGCTATTACCACTAGGTTTGTACAGGTTCTTCAAGTGGAATATGTTTAAAACTATGCCCATTCTAGATTTTTCCTCCATTTAATGGTTTGTATTGTTTATTTTATCTGTGTAGCTCTATTCATGCTGCCCTATTAAAGTTAATTAAGTTTAATTATTTGTAAATTTTCTAAGCCATTTTTAAATGATTATATCCTCAAAGTGCTGAACACTTATGTGAACTATTTTACCTGAAGACTGGGTAAGAAATGTTTAATGATACTAAGGCACACTCCTTTTTAAACTATTCTGTGGGCTTCAATCTTGTTCAACTGTGTATGTCTGTTTTACACATAATTGTGGTAGAAATTTAATAATTTTATTATTTCATTTGGGGGTTATAATTTATTAAAATATTCTTATTGAGAATTCTGGAAATAATTTTAATAATAAATGACCACTTTTCTATTTTTTGAAATACCCATTTGATGAACTATATGCAATTATGAAATGCTAAGTAGTTGAAAAAATTTTAACAACTTGGCTAAATATCCTTGATTATAATGCTAAGTGAAAAAGGATAAAAATCTATGTCTACTATAATTATAGTGTTCTGTGTGTATGTGTGTGATTGTGTGTGTATGTTAATGGAAGAAAAGATGAAAAGAAATGTATCCAATTTTTATGACCGATTTTTTTCTGGGTGGTGAGACTTTGGAGATTTATTGTCATGTTTTCCAAATTTCTACAACTGAATATATCTTAATTAACTTAAAAAGTACAATAATAATACAAGCCTATTGTAGAAAAGTGTGGAAGTACATAATGTAAAAGGTGATAGTCCCTCATTCCCTTCCCTTTTTTATTCAGTCTTATTATCTTGAGATAATCACTATTATAAATGTTGGGCATCTATTTCCAGGCCTTTATTTCTGTCCATGTGTATGTGTGTGTGTGTAGGTAGGTATATGTATGTTTATCTTTCTGGCAGAACAAGTGTTTAATTCTTAAATTTACTTGAAAATGAGGATATATGCCTCCCTTTTGAATTCAGAGATTAGTTGGGAATACTGTAAAATGCTTGGCACAGTTATTTCACTTGGACCAAAAAGTAAAGAAAGAAAAAGCTGAGGGGTGAGCCTGAAGAGCAGATAATTCTATAATGAATTTTATTGGTTATTCACCAATGTATTCCAGGGTACAATCTGCACGTTGGATGTAGAGCAAAATGGATTTAAATTACAGGCTGAAACCCATAATTAGATAAACTAATCAGTTCATGAATATTAGCATTACAAATAAAATAGATAATAGCAGAATATGTCATATGTATTGGGATAATTATTGTGTGTCAAACATTTATTCAGTTATATTTATACATGTGTATGTTTTTATTAGATCATGATGTAAAATGTGCATCATGTGCTGACTGTGAAAATCAATTCTTGTTCGTGGAATATGTGTGTGAATCCACATGTGCATGTACATATGTGTGTGTATAAAACCCATTGGAGTTCAATGGTAATACACTAGATGATGCAGAAAAATAAGTAGGGACTTGGAGTGTGAATTAAGTCTACAGAAGACAGGACTTGAGAATAGAATAAAATGAAGACTGAAGCACATAGATTGTATGTGAATTACACTTTATTGCATTTACCTTAAAAGAGATGGAGATAGCGTTCAACAAAAATGACAAGGTAGCATTAATTAGCAGATGCTCCATGACAACAGCTTATCAAGTTTCCTCTGGTTCCCTCAAAGAAGGCATGCTTGATCTTTGGCTAATGTCCTCAGCCTCATGAGGACCTGCAATGCTGTAGGAAGTACCAATCATGATCTTGAACTTTTTGGACCTCAATCATGCCACCCTAAAATTTCAGAATAATTACTGAAATGATTGCAAAAACTTGCTTGGCAAACCTTGTCACCTAAATCTAACATTCAAATTTTGCTTTCAGTTTCTTACTCCATCACTGGTGCCACGTTGTGTCATTAGCCTCAAGTTATATAGTTGTAAATAGGCAATAAGCACATTCTTACTACACTATTTTTAATCTGTATGGCGAAAGGTCTGAAAGCATGGTAAACATGGCTATACCACACTTCAGAGGCTAAGCCCCACCTTGGACCGAAGTCTTCCACTCATTCTCCTCGTATTCTAGTCAGCATAGCTCAAAGTTCAGAAATGTACTGCTGAGGATGTTGTGTTCTATGGATTATCTAGTAGGAGAGGGAGATGTATTCCAACACTCCTGTCTGGGAAAGAAATGGAGTTTCCTGAGAATGATGAGGAATTATATATGTGGAGGAACAGAGGAATGACAGAATTGGCGCTGTATTCAAAGTTTCATAGACCCATATTCCTTTTCCTAAATGTATTCACTGGGCCCTCTATTTTGTTAGGCTAACTTCTGCAGTGTTAGATCTGCAATCTCCTGTGCTTCCTTCTCCTTTCTCCTTGCTCATAATTTGTCTTTGTTCCCTCTCCTTCATTCAATTCCAAACACACATCAATAAGGAAGGCTTTGTAAAGCAGGAGTCACTGAGGTTAGTGCAGATCGTTGACTACGTTATTGCGTGTTCAGCTACGTAAAAACATGCTTGGATAGCTTGGGTGGGGGTGGGGGGCGGTGTGGTGTTCCAACAGAGCTTTAATTTCATAAAGGGTCAAGGAACCACTGCTGAAAAGTAGTTATCCTAACAGAGGAGATTGTCGGGGATCTGAAGTCTGGCCAAAGAACATGGGACTGTGTCAAGTGTAGAGGCCATCTTTAGTTCAGCAGAAGTTTTGTCACTTAGCCATCCTTTAGCCTTTGGCCACACATAATGTATATGAAACACTGGCAAATATTTTTTTGCAGGACTCCTGTCTATAAAAGCAATTCTTTAAAAAATGTATTGGAAAATGTATGGGCTCATGTGAGGCGTAGTGATTTATCTTGATTGGTGAAGATCTAGAGAAGCACTTAGGTGTTTGCATATTGTCCAGTCACTGCACAAGAAGATTCCTTGCAGTGTTAAGGCATTGTCTCTTCCTGTTCAAATCCAGGAACTCTCTCTTTATAGTCTTTGTAGTCCACTTCTTGTCAATTTTATATCTCCCACTGTGAGAAAAATGTAGCAGTGCTGTGATGACTCACTCGGCCATGACTCTTCAGGACTCAATTGTATAGAAACAGTATAGATCTTGTTTCTGCAATTCTCTAATACAACTTATTTGATATTGATTACCTCATTACTCATGACAGTGTATCATCTTTCTTGCTGCCCTTGAAGAGTGGTGTCCAGTGAATCTTTCAAAGAATGATACTGAGCTTCATTGTTGATGAACAAAAATGCAAATCTCACCCAGAGCATGCAGGAACATGTGAGCAATAATTCATTTACTCATCATGTTAAATTTATCATTCAGAAAACAGATCTTCACACCATGTCTTCTCTTGACCTTTGTAGGCTATAATCACTACACTCCTAGAATGTGATCTCTTTCAATATTGACTGCATCCATGCCTTCCACACACTTGCACCAGTTGGGAGGATGGAGATGTCATCTGGGCAGAGGGAGAAGAGCAGTACCATTCAGAGGTCTGTCCCTCTTAAGATATATTCTCTCTGTCAACCTAGGTGAGTATTTTAAGTCTCCAACATGATATCACTAAATGCAGAGTTAGGAAGAAATACATGCAATCTTGCAAGTTAGTATAAGCAGATTCAGTACACCACTGACTATTTGTGTTACCTAAAAATTACCTGAAAAATGCCGTGGCCTGCCCAAGTTTTTATCCAGGGGACAGAGGAAGGACAATCCCCCAAATATTGAATAAATATAAAGACAGCAGAACAAAACAGAACGGCTTTCTAATTTCTTACAGACCATAGTTGTTCAACATAATACTTACACATTTGAAAAAAGAAGATTGTTTTATTGGAGTGCCTTAAGATGTTTTCAACATATGGATTTTACAGCAGGGCAGTTCAAGAGGCATGAGGAATGTTTCTTTTCTCTATTTGTTGGAGCACTGGAGTGTGAGCTGAAGCAGCCTAATCCTGACTTGCAGAAATGGAGAGGACATGACTTACCGGAATTGTTCATGGAATTGGTTTGGCTAATTCTCATTGATTCTGCCATTTCTCCAGAAGCCATTACTACAGCTGTTGAAACAGGGGTAGAGAAAAATGACAGGTGCTAAGTGGTATCTAGGAGGTTAATAATGAGCATATTTAAAATAATCTCTAGGACTTCTGGAATTTTCTAGGAGGAATCTTAAGAAATGCTCTAGATTTTGTAACAGCTAATAAAGGAGATATTATAATGCTGATGGTGACAGTGGTGACCCTGATCTACCCTGGAAAACTTGGCTTTTATTGTTTATTCTGTCGTATCTCATCGTTAATTCCTATTTTTTATTCTTTACTTTAAAAATTGTTTTTATTTTAGCTACACAATTAGTTACACTTTTTTTATTCTTGGGACCTATAACATTCAATGAACGTCTTAGAAAGGTGATGGTAATGTCTAGACCAAACAAAAGAAGAATAGGAAACTGTTCAGGTAAGTAAAAAAGATAGTCTGTCCTCTTTTAGAGTTTTTGTGCTCAGAGGTGAAGTTTTCCCCTCACATACCTAATAAAAACTATAATTTGCATTATAAACTCCCTGCTACTTAGGTTCCTAAGGGGTGGACCATCTTGACCTTTTAATTATTAATGCTTTTCCTCAAATTACAATTATTTGAGGAATAATTACAATCCCTGTCCTGCTAACTGGCAATTTTCTAATAGAGTTTTCATTTCTCCATATTTCATTAATTGCAACTTGTGTATCATATAATGATAGAATCTTCAGAACAGCACCTTGTTAACTGGAAAGGTTATGAAATGCTAATGAGCTCTTTTAAATGGCTAACTCCCTGTAAGACTCTCCAGATTCTTTCTTTTCTTTAATGTTTCTTATATTTTTAGACATTCTTCCTTGTAAAGTATTCTTCAAGATTATTTTAAATATTCTTGAAAAGAAATTAACATATTTGATGGCCTTCTGTATGTTGAACCTGCTCACATAATTACTGTGTTTATTTCTTTCAACAAGCCCTGTGAGTAAGGCATTCCTGCTCCTCTGCAGTAAAGGGAAACAAGGATAAAAAAACAATGTTATTGGCTCAAGGTCAATGGTGGAGCAACGATTTAAGTTCAAATTTTCCATCTTCAAATCTTGTGTTCTTTCTTTTGTAGAACTCAAAGGGCTGTGTGAAAAGTTTACTGTGGAAAAAGAAATTGAAAAAACTGCCACTAAGTAGCAATGGAAGGACTTTTCCCGCTAAGGTGCCATTATTATCTGTCTTCATCATTATTGTCTTATTTCACTTCTCTTCATTACTCTACTTACTTCTTGCCTTTATTCCTTTAATCAGACCGAACATTGTTTATTTTCTTCTTTTTCTAATTTGTCAACTAATATGCTGAAATTATGTAAGAATCATTCAATTATACACATAAAATGATCTATAATGGTCCAATTTACCAGTTCCCTTTCTATCTTCACTGGGTTTTACACAATTTGAATTTAAGCATAATGGAAACACCACTTGTGAATGGCTTTTGTGTCATGTTTAATTTTTCCAAAGAATTGCTCAAGATGCCCCTTCTACTGTTCAGCAGAGTATTCTGTAGCTTTTTATTAAAACTCCATTGCACTCCTTCCCCAAATTGTCCACGGATTCTGAGGTTTGCTGAATTCTGAGAGGTTAGACCCGTTTACAAATGGAAGGTGAAATGAGAACTGAAGTCTAATCTGGCTACTAGTGGCCATTGCATCTGCCTCTGTCCCAGTATTGTTGTTTTAGGCTGTTTCCACAAATCAGATGGCACTACTTCTCCAGATTCTGAATGTTCTACATCTGGGCACAAGATTACCGTTCTTTCATTGTACCATCTCAGGCTCAGTCATTGTTACTTAAGCAGGCCACCATGTTGCGGGACTGGTGGGGATGAGCTTGCAGGCTCAGTTGTCAGTGTGAGAACTTTCCCTTTCCTATGACCTTCCAGATGAGGAACTGCTCAGATCACCAGCTGCTTCAGGTTACCAGCCCACACCTGTCTGTCTCACCTCTGACAACCTTGGTAAGTTTTTCTGCCACTGGGACTGATTATTAGAGTTTCTATAAATAGGCATGGTACAACATCTCAGAATATTGACAATAACAATTATTTTTCAAGATTTTTATTAAAGGTGCTAATTATTTCACATTACTTGTTATAATTTTAGGAAGTAGTTATTAAAATTATGTTTTTAATTTCCCGGTCATCTGTCATCAAGCAAGTAGTTATAATTTAAAGGCATGAAAGTTTCTTCTAGCTTAGGTGTCATACCTTGGTCATACCTTTTAGCATATTTAGGTTTATGATCTTCATCTGTGAAATGAAGGAATTGGATTAAAATAGCACAATCTAGTTTAGGTTCGTTTTCTGGCATATATCCCTTCTACAGTAAAAATCATCTCATCATCTTATGTGTTGCATAATAAATAATTTAAAATTTATGAAAAGGCCAAGATGTTATTACAGATCATATTCTTAGTAGTATTACCGACAGTCCCATTTCCTTAGGATAGGCCTGGATTTTATATATTCTCCTGGGATGATGATTATTAGTAGCCCTTTCCATTCTCAAAACTGTTCTAGTTTGGATGATAAATTACATGGTTGTCTTAATTGATTGTTTAAATATAATCTTAATAATTATTATATAAAATACATTTTAACGTTTTCCCACTTAACAAGTAACATTTGCTATCAATTTTTTAAAATTTTATTTAAAATTTTTTTTTAGTTTTAAAAAATTGAAAGATCTGAAATGTAAAATGATTTCTATAATATTTAGTTGGGGACCAAATATATATTAAAATATAGATATAAATGTAACTACTTGTGGCGACATCAACAAAACTGCTTATTTTATGTTTGGATTTCTTGGATTTTACTTTTAAAAACACAAGTGTTTTATTGAAATAATTTTTATATTTTTGTTCCTAAAATATGGGTTCAGAGAAAAGATTTCAGTTGTCATTTTCCTAGCCTATGCTCAAATAAAACATTTTGTTATGGATAATATTTAATCCCATTAGACAAAAAACCCAAATTCCATATTATTGGCAAAATAGTTTCCCTTTCAACATTCTAAAAGTAGAACTAGAGAGAGCGTGATGTGCTATATAAATATTTTGATTAGTTCAATGCAACTGGTAGGTTTGGTTAAAGAAACTCTTAAGGGAATTTATAGAATTATCTCTTTTATGTTTCGTATAAATTTGTATTTCAACATCAGTGTTCTTTTGCTTCCTGTCTTTAACCAATGATCCACCACAGATATAAATTAAACAATGAATAAGAACAAAAACAATTTAAAACTGCGTAATGGTCCAAACCACCATGGATGGTGTTCTGACGATGATACACGGGGTGAGGTCTGACTCATGAGCCGCTGTCCGTGATGACTTGACATTCTCAAAAGGAAATCCCGAATGTTCTCACTGCATGCTGCTGCAGGCCCTCATGGCAGGGCATCCACACCACTGGCTCAGGTGCTGGTTGCTCCAGAATCTCTCTTCAGCTGGCCTTTTTCTACTGAACTGTCTGTGAGAACATCACTGCAGGCACGGTTTTCTCCAACCATAATTGCTGCTGCCAAAGCCACCTCGGACTTGGGAAAGGGTAAACAACTCCACTAGACATGTGCACTCCAGCAGTTGGGCGTCTCCTTTTTCTTTAATTTCTCTTAGTAAAGGAGAGGCCAGGAACTACATTTAATCATTTTCAGATTTTTAGGATTTGGAGCATTTTAAAACATATTGTTTGAGGATAATAGAAGGGAAGTGCAACTTATACAAAACATCTGAAAATTGCCGCCTCTGTTCCAAATCCTTTGGGGGTTCCTCATCAGGCAGGTGCTTGCTTTATTCTTGATTATAGGGGCAACTCACCCCATGCCCAGTCACTAGCACTGGCTGTTACAGTATTGAGGCTTCATTGCTCATTAAGATGAGTCCCTCACCTAGAAAAGGGAGAGGTTCTCTTTGTCTTCGGTAACTGACATATATTTCCCAAGCCCTCCTTTCTTGTCTCAGGATTTACTTCCTTGTGGGATAATTGATAATAGGAACATCAATTTTATTTTAGGGAAACTTTACTTCCACCCATTGCAGTATATAAAGATCCTGTGGCTGTACTATGTTCATTGGTTTCCCATTGTCAGAGTAGTGTGGTTTTAAACACCACTTTTGAGATGCTAAAAATTCAGTCCCAATGGGACTTGTTCAAATTCAGTTCAGTTTCTGGTCATCAAAAAATCAATCTGTTTTAAGATCTAGTCTTACCCATGAAAACTTTAATAATGGTAGATATCTAAAACATGAGTTAATTACCCCCAAAATGTTTCAGTTTTTTCATTGTTATATTGCCAAAAACCATTCTGGCTATATATATTTTTAAAAGAAGCCATTTGCATGTCCTTTAGTGGTAGAATAGAAATTTGGTTAAAATTGGATGACATTTACTTTAATTATCTTCAAAGTATGATGAATTTTTCATGTGTGGAATGTGTGGTCTGATAATTTTTTAGGAAACAACACTCCACTAGAGAGCGTAGAATCTTAGAATTCATCTACTTCATTCTCCTCCTGGTACTCTACTTTCTTCTACAACGTCCCAGCCGAGCTGAGGTCTGAGCTGTGCTGCTCAAGGCTGTCCCATGTGAATACAGATGCGGAGACCCTGTAAGGGTAACAGAGGAAGCTGTGAACCCAGGGGAAGAAGATAAACTTGTGGACATATGTGCAAGGAGCAATTTTAAGTATATTGCACTAACCAACTCATGATCTGTAACTCCTTTGTTAAGGAAAAGAATGTATATCTACGTCAAACTTCCATTTCAGAAAGCCGAGGTCAAAATAATGAGTCCTGGGGAATTCAAACTTGTGTTAAGAAAATGTGTCCCAGTGTGCAATGGCTGCAAACAGCAGCTTCCTTGGTAGTGTATGCAGCCTGTTTGTTGTACGGGTTGCTCTAAAGGGCCTTGGAGACAGTCCTTTCAGATGGATGTACATGTTTTTGACCTTGCACTACCCCAGTGTAGGCTCCAAACAGGCATGCGAGGTGCCTTTGGAAAGCCCCGGGGCACTGTGGCCAGTTGGCCAAGTTATCATCTCCATCCGCACCAAGCTGCAGAACAAGGAGCACGTGATTGAGGCCCTGGGCAGGGCCAAGTTCAAGTTTCCTGGCTGCCAGAAGATCCACATCTCAAAGAAGTGGGGCTTCACCAAGTTCAATGCCAATGAATTTGAAGACATGGTGGCTGAGAAGCGGCTCATCCCAGATGGCTGTGGGGTCAAGTACCTTCCCAGTTGTGGCCCTCTAGAGAAGTGGTGGGCCCTGCACTCATGAGGGCTTTCACTGTGCTTCCCCCTCTTAATACTCACCAATAAATTCTACTTCCTGTCCACCTAAAAAAAAAAAAAAAGAAAAAGAATGCTTTAACTTCAATTACCCCTCTCTCTTATGTACGTTTAGTCTGTTATTTTAGTTTTATCCTGATTCCCTCGCATAAACATTATTATTATATTAAAAAAAAGAAAAGAAAAGAAAATGTGTAGAGCCGGGCACGGTGGCTCATGCCTGTAATCCTAGCACTTTGGGAGGCTGAGGTAGGCGGATCACAAGGTCAAGAGATCCAGACCATCCTGGCCAATATGGTGAAACCCCGTCTCTACTAAAAATACAAAAATTAGCCGGACGTGGTGGTGCATGCCTGTAATCCCAGCTACTCAGGAGGCTGAGGCAGGAGAATTGCTTGAACCTGGGAGACGGAGATGCAGTGAGCCAAGATCATGCCACTACACTCCAGCCTGGGCAACAGAGTGAGACTCCACCTCAAAAACAACAACAACAATGACAACAACCCCAAAAACAAACATGAATAAATATCATTCTCCAATAAAATCATTCATGCCAGTTAGGGAACCAGTTAGGAGGTTGTTACTGGAAACCAGGTGAAAGAGATTTTATTGGAGAATGATATTTATTCATGTTTTCCCTAATGAACCCTTTAACTTTACTCCAGTTACCCTTAAGATTGAGTTCAAGCCCTTGGTATGGCTGACAACACTCAGTGAGATACGGCCCTGGTCTCCTAATCCAATCCCATCTTTTTCCTCTGTCCCCTCTTTCACCAACTTCTTTCAGTTCTTTGAACAGGAAACCCTTTGTTTTTACTCCTTTACATCAGTTGCTCCCTTAAAAACTCTTCCTCATTCCCTACTCTGCCCTGTTTTAGGTTTCAGCTTAGAGTAATTTTCTCCAGGAGGTTTCCCGCTGGCCTCCCCAATGGGAGTTAGTGGCGGTCAAAGCATGCTGTTCTCATCACAGCCCTTAGAGCACTGTATTGCAAAAGCCATTTCAGTTGTCTACGTCTTCTGCTAGATTGGGGGTTTCTTGGTCTTTCTTGTTTACCATTGTATCCCCGCAGCTAGCATAGTTCTAGCTTGGGATTAGGTGCTCAATAAGAACCTGATGAATGGCCAGACAGATGAATGAAAGAAGGTTTTCCTTTTCTGACAAGAGAAGGTGGTGAATGGAATAGTTGGGAAAAAATGTAGTGGCTAAAAATAAAGCAAATAAACTTTTTCTTACCTTTGACCAGCTATATTTTTCTTAAAATAGGGAAAAAACCAAAAACAAAACACTGAGAAAAGTGTTTGCTGATTGGTTAGTTTTAAATTTTTCCACCAATGAAATATTACTGCTATGTGCCTGTTGCTTCTGTTTTCTTTTCTATTAATATCATGGGCTTTTTTTTTTTCACAAAGGAATTTGTTATAAAAGGACATTATTCAAGGTATCACTGTATAGAACCTGACATTTGTAAATGGTAACATTCAGTGAATATAATCACTTAAACTCCAGAGTAGATAATATACATATATATTGAAACCTAGAGGCCTGGGGTTTGGTCTTGTTTGTATCATTATCTGTGTAACTAGCATTAGGACATTAAACTTTCTATGTTTCATTGCATTTAAGTAAATGCATCATCTTCAAAATGAACTGATGCCTTTTCTGATATCTCACATGTGAAGATATAATGAAATGACTCATATAACAATACTGTAAGCTACTCTGTAAAACATAGGTACCAAGAAGTGTGATAGGAAGGGTAACGGCCCAGAAGCTAGGTTGCCAGTAGCTAGTCCCATTCATACTGATAATTATCTACTTTTTCTCTATTGTCTTCTTATCAAACAAAATAAAACATAAGATAAGAAGGTTACACAGAATGTTGTTTTGAGATTCCTTTTAGACTTTATCTTTTAAAATTATTATTATTATACTTTAAGTTTTGGGATACATGTGCAGTACGTGCAGGTTTGTTAGATAGGCATACACATGCCATGGTGGTTTGATGCACCCATCAACCCGTCACCTACATTAGGTATTTCTCTTAATGCTATCCCTCCCCTAGCTCCCCACCCCATGACAGGCCCTGGTGTGTGATGTTCCCCTCCCTGTGTCCATGTGTTCTCATTGTTCAACTTCCGCTTATGAGTGAGAACATGCAGTGTTTGGTTTTCTGTTCTTGTGTTAGTTTGCTGAGAATGATGGTTTCCAGCTTCATCCATGTCCCTGCAAAGGACATGAACTCATCCTTTTTTATGATGCATAGTATTCCATGGTATATATGTTCCACATTTTGTTTATGCAGTCTATCATTGATAGGCATTTGCGCTGGTTCCAAGTCTTTGCTATTGTGAACAGTGCTGCAATAAACACATGTGCATGTGTCTTTACAGTACAATGATTTATAATCCTTTGGGTATGTGCCCAGTAATGGGATTGCTGGGTCAAATGGTATTTCTGGTTCTAGATCCTTGGGGAATTGCCACACTGTCTTCCACAATGGTTGAACTAATTTACACTCCTACCAACAGTGTAAAAGCATTCCTATTTTTCCACACCCTCTCCAGCATCTGTTGTTTCCTGACTTTTTAATGATCACCATTCTAACTGGTGTGAGATGGTATCTCATTATGGTTTTGATTTGCATTTCTCTAATGACCAGTGATGACAGCCTTTATCATTCTAGGAAATGAAATGAGTACTATATTCTGTACATAATCCTATTAAATTTCTTAAAGAATTTGTTGCCATTTAATCCATCCTTGCGTTTCATGGGTTGCTGTAGTTCAGTGGCTGTTGTAGGGAATTTGTCTCCCTTCTTTTTCTATCCCAGTTATTTTGTGATTTTTTCCAGATGTGCATGTTCTCCATTGATATATCTATGCATTGTCTTAGAAAGTTTAAAATCTACCCAGGAATCTATACTAGCTAAAAGCTCTTTGAGTGTCCCTTCACAGCTATACAAGATGTTTTTAGTAATTGTGTTCTGTAGAGCTCAGCAGCTGTTATGTTACCCGAGTATTTTTTTTTCTTTCTTGGCTTTTAAGTTGATGTTTGGAAGTCTATTCCCAAGTGCTCAGCCTAAAGGAGAGACAGTTTTCTGTTCCCCCTGCTAATGCTAAACACACAAATAAACAAAACAGAACAAAACAAAATTCCAATTAAACAGTCTGGGAGATTCTAGTTGAATGGTGGATATTAGCATCTTTCAAAGCTAGACCACCTGTGCCTAGACAATTTGTGGCTTTCTATTCTTATGTAATACAAGGAATAGATGTCTGGCAAAACAAAAAAGAATTTAGAAAGTAGGGATGAAACATGATTCCTTTTCAGGGAGGAAAATCACTTCATTCAAGTACCAGCTTAGTTTCATTGCTGCATTTGAACCTCCAAGGAGAGAAATGTGGAGCAGTTGATCCACAGTTGTACCTTCCATTGTTGGTTTATTAAATGGGCTCTTTTGTGCGTGTGTGCAATTTCATTCAGACCGTTAATCACTACTTGGAGTATTCTTAGCTTTCTACAAATTGACAAACATAGCTGTAGGGAAATCTATGTGGAAATTCTGTTTTTCAGAGGTTTGGCAGTTTCTCTTTAATGAGTCCTCAGGGTATCTCAGGTTTCACTAATTTGTGTTTAATTAGATTGGAAAAATTCGGGCAGTAAGCGACAAGAACCTTCTGCCCCATAAGTTGGAGAAAACCATCACTCAGGCACTCAACAAAACCCCTTCCAAATACATGATGTAATACATTCACTCCAGAACAGGGTATGAGCCCTAAAGGATGATTCAGACATAGAAACAAAAGTTGCTGTTAGAAGATAAAAAGAATTATCAGTGGATGTGTTTTTGCTTGCCGCTTTGACATTGCTGTGGCAGGCAAGAGCAAAGGAAGAAATGATGCCCTGAGCTGATGAAAACAAATTCCAGAAGCATTTATGACCAAGTTGTGGTTAGAGGAACAGAATGAAACATAATTTTTCAAAGTTTCCAGAAGGGCTTGTGCATGCTGAAACATAACCAGAAACAATATAACATGCTACAGGAGGAATCAGTGATAAAAGTGACATTCCCCACATAGACCTAGTTATTTACAAAGAGCTGTAAGAACGAAGGGCTCTGAAGCCTTTAAGATGAACAATGTTGTAACAGGAAAGGGGTCCTGATTCAGACCGCCAGAGAGGGTTCTTGGATGTTGCATAAGAAAGAATTCAGGGAGAGCCCATAGAGTAAAGTGAAAGCAAGTTTATTAAGAAAGTAGAGGAATAAAAGAATGGCTACTCCATAGACAGAACAGCCCCGAGGGCTGCTGGGTGCCCATTTTTATGGTTATTTCTGGATGATATGATAAACAAGGGGTGGATTATTCATGCCTCCCCTTTTTAGACCATATAGGGTAACTTCCTGTCATTGCCATGGCATTTGTAAGCTGTCATGGCACTGGTGGGAGTGTAGCAGTGAGGACAACCAGAGGTCACTCTCGTGGCCATCTTGGTTTTGGTGGGTTTTGGCTGGCTTCTTTACTGCAAACTGTTTTATCAGCAACGTCTTTATGACCTATATCTTGTGCTGACCTCCTAACTCATCCTATGACTTAGAATGCCTTAACCTTCTGGGAACGCAGCCCAGTAGGCCTCAGCCTTATTTTACACAGCTCCTATTCCAGATGGAGTTGCTCTGGTTCACATGCCTCTGACAATGTCATATATAGAGTCAGTACAGCTTCAGGATTAAAAAGCTAGACTCCAGAGTCAGACAGACATGGCTGATATCAAATCTTGCTTCCACTGATCTTGCCCAACTCACTTGACAATTTTGTGCCACAATTTTCTCGTTAGTGAAATGGAATAATGATTAGCCCTTTATCATAGCATCAATTTGAGGAATTAGGAAATGCTTGTAAGACATTGGTAAGTATTCACTAGTGTGTGTTAACAAATGATGTCTATTATTGCTATTGTTATTAACAAGATATTCTGGCTGTGGACTCCATGTAGTTCCAGAACATTTGGTCACAGACTGAACATGTCCAAAACTGTAGTCTGTTAAAGCCTAGACTTGGGTTAGAAATTGCATTTTCCAAAGAATTTAAACATTGCAGGTTGTACTTTCCAAAGATGGCTGCTACAATAGTTCCTATCCCACATGCTATGTGATAATGTGACCTTGCCACTCCTTCCATGAGGAGGTGGGGTTTATGTTTTCTCCCCTTTGAAACTGGGTAGGCTTGTGACTACTTCAACCAATAGAGTATGGTAGAAGTGACACTATGCGACTTCAGAGGCCAGGTCCAAAAATGCTTTCATTTGTTGCACTGAAATACTCCTTCTGGGAGTCCTGTCTGATTCCCCTGGGGCTGCCATGTTATGAAGAAGCCAACCCACACAGAGAAGCCACAGATGGGTGCTCCGCTTGGCAGTCTTAACCTTTGAGCCTTTTCCTCTCAAACACCAGATATGAGTAAGTCTTCAGATAATTCCAGCTCCAGCCATTGATGATTAGTCTTCTCATCTGAGACCCCAGACCTCATGGCAGAGAGAAGCCAGCCCTAATGTCTCCTTTCCAATTCCCAATAAATCCTTGAACATAATAAATTCTTGTTTGAAGCCACTAAGCTTTTGGGTAATTTGTTACATAGCAAAGAATACCTGGGATAGAAATTCTCCCTGGTCTGGCCAGTTCTCCCATCTATGGATTTTCCAACTTTTCTCAATCAAGTAATTAGCATTTACCATGGCCTTTTAATGCAAGTCACTGTGCTAGAACAGGGATAAGCCAACATAGTTAAACAGAAATATACACAAGGATAAAGAATACTTAGGAATCCTATGGTAAGAACTGTGTAGCATAGAGTAGTGCAGGCAGGACTATGGTGTAAACTTAAAAGAGGCTGAGACAATCTGGGAAGGCTTCATGGTAAAGAGGCTTGCATAGGGCCTTGGATAAGTGGTACTCGGATAAATAGAAAAGGGAGAAAATGAATTCCTGGCAAAAGTGTGAAAAAATGTTTTGGAAAAAAAAAAGATTTAGGCATTGCCTCTTATAATTAATCTGTTAAAGTCATATTTGTCTTGCAAAATAATATTTACAAGAAAGAATGCTTTTAGATATATTTCTAATTCTAAGAGAATTTACTTAGTACTTTATAGAGGTTGAGTTATGTCAGTGGTGTCTTAAATTGGACTAATTTCCATAGGATTGATCAGCAAACTTTGCCTCCTATGTAAACATAATTTACAACTTTATTAGAACACACAGAATTTTCTTTCCTTTTTTTTTTTTGAAATGGCGTCTCGCTCTGTCGCCCAGGCTGGAGTGCAGTGGTGTGATCTCAGCTCACTGCAAGCTCTGCCTCCTGGGTTCACACCATTCTCCTGCCTCAGCCTCCTGAGCAGCTGGGACCACACTTTTTTTTTATTATTATATTTTAAGTTCTGGGGTACATGTGCAGAACGTGCAGGTTTGTTAGATAGGCATACACGTGCCATGGTGGTTTGCTGAACCCATCACCCGTCATCTACATTAGGTATTTATCCTGATGCTATCCCTCCCCTAGCCCCCAACCCCCAGACAGGCCCCAGTGTGTGATGTTCCTCTCCCTGTGTCCATGTGTTCTCATTGTTCAACTCCCACTTATGAGTGAGAACATGTGGTGTTTGGTTTTCTGTTCCTGTGTTAGTCTGCTGAGAATGTTGGTTTCCAGCTTCATCCATGTCCCTGCAAAGGACATGAACTCATCCTTTTTTATGGCTGCATAGTATTCCATGGTGTATATGTGCCATGTTTTCTTTATGCAGTCTATCATTGATGGGCATTTGGGTTGGTTCCAAGTCTTTGCTATTGTGAACCATGCTGCAATAAACATATATGTGCATGTTTCTTTACAGTAGAACGGTTTATAATCCTTTGGGTATGTACCCAGTAATGGGATTGCTGCATCAAATGGTATTTCTGGTTCTAGATCCTTGAGGAATTGCCACACTGTCTTCCACAATGGTTGAACTAATTTACACTCCCACCAACAGTGTAAAAGCATTCCTATTTCTCCACATCCTCTCCAGCATCTGCTATTTCCTGACTTTTTAATGATCACCATTCTAACTGGCATGAGATGTTATCTCATTGTGGTTTTGATTTGCATTTATCTAATGACCAGTGATGATGAGGTTTTTTTCATACGTTTGTTGGCCGCATAAATGTCTTCTTTTGAGAAGTGTCTGCTCATATCCTTCGCCCAGTTTTTGATGGGGTTGTTTGTTTTTTTCTTGTAAATTTGTTTAAGTTCTTTGTAGATTCTAGATATTAGCCCTTTGTCAGATGGAAAGATTGCAAAAATTTTCTCATATTCTGTAGGTTGCCTGCTCACTCTGATGATAGTTTCTTTTGCTGTGCAGAAGCTCTTTAGTTTAATTAGATCCCATTTGTAAATTATGACTTCTGTTGTCGTTGCTTTTGGTGTTTTAGTCATGAAGTCTTTGCCCATGCCTATATCCTGAATGGTATTGCCTAGGTTTTCTTCTAGGGCTTTTATGGTTTTAGGTCTTACGTTTATGTCTTTAATCCATCTTGAGTTAATTTTTGTATAAGGTGTGAGGAAGGGGTTTGGTTTCAGTTTTCTTCATATGGCTAGTCAGTTTTCCCAACACCATTTATTAAATAGGGAATCTTTTCCCCATTGCTTGTTTTTGTCAGGTTTGTCAAAGATCAGATGGTTGTAGATGTGTGGTGTTATTTCTGAGGCCTCTGTTCTAGAACACTCAGAATTTTCAACTAATTCCAACAAATATAACGTCTTATAATAGACATTCGTCATCTCAAAGTTACACATCGGTAGTCTTTAGAACTGTTACATCAAAAAATTCTTGAGAAAGCTCTTTGCCCTTTTTAGGAAATATATTTAGATAAATACCCAAATTTTAATGACAAGATATAGCATAGATATAGCTATAACTTACATTTTATAAATAACATATAAATATTCACAAAACACCTTCCTTTTAAAAAAACAAAAACAAAAAGTAATGGCTAAACCAAGCTTTTGCGTTCTTAAGGTCCTGTGACAACTTTTCATTAAGTACCGTAGAAATGTGTGGGCTTGCATTTTTTCTTTTTCTTTTTTTTTTTTTTTAAGATGGAGCTTCGCTCTTGTCACCCAGGCTGCAGTGCAATGGCATGATCTTGGCTCACTGCAACCTCTGCCTCCTGGGTTCAAGTGATTCTCCTGCCTCAGCCTCCTGAGTAGCTGTGACTACAGGTGTATGCCACTACACCTGGATAATGTTTTTGTATTTTTGGTAGCGACATGGTTTCACCATTTTGGCCAGGCTGGTCTTGAAATCCTGACCTCAGGTGATCCACCCACCTTGGCCTCCCAAAGTGTTGGGATGACAGTTGTGTGCCACCACGCCTGGCCTGGACTTGCATTTTAACTATAATTTAAAATTTTTTGCAACCGGTTTGAACATAATTAGTGGCTGGAGTGTATCACTTCTTAAATAGTGAATTCTGCTGAATAGCTCAACTTCCTGCTCATGCTTACATTGGGGCATCCTATCTCCCTTTAAGTCCTCCCTTTTGACCTTAGTCCTTCTCTTTGGATAGCATAGAATAAGGATTCTCTTTCCTGTGTGACAAGCATTCAATTGCTCAAGGGCAGCACCTATACCACCTTTGTGCCTTCTCTTTTGGCTAACAATTCCATGTCTTCTCATATGACCATCTTTCCAGAACCTTCTTTATCTTTATTGTTGTCTTTTAAATCGTTTCCAGAATGTCATTCTTAAAATGTTGCCTAGAACAAATGAATACTCTAGCTGTTAATAATTGCCTTGATTATCAGATAGTAGATATTTAGCTTGATCTAAGTCTAACCATTGGGAAGCGATTCCTTTTTTTTTTTTTAATTTTGGAAAAAGTGTTTTATGACAACTAATTTGGTGATATAAAAATGTCCATCAGCTTGGATTCTTTGAGAACATCCCAAAATGTATTGGAAATCCATAATCTCTGTATCCAAAGGAATCTTTGAAACTTTGGCATCATCCTAGATATTAGGTAGATTTTCTTGGGAGGATTTTTGGCTAAAATGAGTCACTTACCTCTTCCTTAATCTAGAATTTTTTTTTCAGGTAATCTAGAGTCTCTATTATATATGTGTGATATATGGTATACCTGGGTCTGCCGATAGACAGACAGGCCAAGATAGGCCTGCAGTATTATCTTTGGTTATTCCAATGCCATAGCCACTAGCCCCATATGGCCATTTACGTTTGAAGTTAAAAACATTTGAATAAAATTCAAGTAAAAATTTAGTTCCTCCATTGCACCAGCCACATTTAAGTGCTCAGCAGTCACATGTGGCTAGTGACTGCTATATTGGTCAGCACAGATATAGATCATTTCCCTCATTGCTGAAAATCCCATTCCTGCCACCTAGATAAAAATGTAGAAAATGTGAAAATTTCTGAATATTTAAAATGGAAAATAATATGATGAAAATGGATATTGGCATAGGCTAGGCATTAAAAGCATTAACTATTTTATTATTTTGTATAATGCCTAGTTCAATGTTTTACAAGGGAAGCCTATTGAATAAGACTTTAGCTTTGTAGACAGGCCACCTGAGTTCAGGTTCTGCCTTCACCATTTTCTGCGTGATCTTAACCTAGGCTTTGTTTCCTTAACTATAAAATAGTTTTAATGAATTTCTTAAGATGATCATTAAGCTCGAATGAAATAATGCTTGTAAAAGTATTTAGCACAATGTCTGACACATATAAGTTGTTAATATAAACATAAGGCATTATTGCAATTATTTGGAGAAATGTAATTATTAGCTCCAAAGTACTAATTGCAGAATACGTGCATAAACACCAACACAATATAACACTTTATTAAATAAATTGGACTTGTTAAAAAGCAAACAGAAAGCACAGATACAACAGCCTGTGCCACCTAACTTCCAGGAGACACAGGTGTAGTGATCTGGGTGGGTTTCCAAAGCCTTCCTCATTTGGTTTGGTTGGTAGGGGAGCACAAGCACTTCCTTCTCCTACACTATTCTGTGTTGAGGGAATGCATAAACCACTGACAAGTCTCCAAGAACATCTTCACCACTCAGGTTCTTAGAAGTGATGAACCAAAACTCCATCTTTGTATGTGTCAGGGGCCCATATATCAAGATGTATAGGGTCTTAGTACTGGTTTGGGCATAATTATACTCAGTGTTTGGGCCTCTGCTAAAATTCTAAGACGATAAGAATATCAGTTTAAGTTCTGTTACAGTTGTTTTCATGAAGCTTGTAAGATTGATATTTAAGTGGACAAAGTGGGAAGTAGTCAGTTTTCAGGGCTCCAGGGGTCATCACTTTGTGCTCAGAGTACAGCTGTCAACTAGTGATTTGGTGCATTTAGACAAGGAACAGGAGCAAAGGGCCTATTTCAAGAGGGTCATAGACACTGCCTTGTGATAAGTGAATGGCTAGAGGGTTTCTTGGTAAACTGAAGTCCTTTTCACATTTTTAGCTTTTTCTGTGGCAACCTGTCTTTTACAGAAGCTACTCATGAACTCTGGCTTTTCATTTTCAGGGTTGGGCTGGACATTCTTTGTTTTTTTGTTTTGTTTTGTTTTCTGAGACAGAGTCTCTCTCCATCACCCAGGCTGGAGTGCAGTGGCGTGATCTCAGCTCACTGCAATCTCTGTCTCTCGGGTTCAAGTGATTCTCCTGCCTCAGCCTCCCGAGTAGTTGGGACTACAGTTTCATGCTACCACGCCCAGGTAATTTTTGTAATTTTAATAGAGACAGGGTTTTGCCATGTTGGCCAGGCTGGTCTCGAACTCCTGACCTCAAGTGATCCACCTGCCTTGGTCTCCCAGAATGCTAGGATTACAGGAGTGAGCCACCGCGCCCGGCCTTGGACATTCATTTCTGATTCACTGATCACACTGTGTATTAAAAGAAATGTTGGTCCAGTGACAAAGAAAAACGACCTATTCTATTCCTCGCCATCACATAGCTATTTGGAGTAAAGTATTCCAAAGTAATGCTTTACTGTTCACTGTCTGTGAGAATGATGCCATGCCCCACTGTCCTTGATTAACCATTTATCATTTCTCAGAGATACAGAGTTAGGTGACCCTTCAAATTAATGACATTCTGTTCACACATAAAATTACCTCCCAGTTCTTGATCTGCTTTCTTAATGCCCTTCTGACTGGCTAGAAACACTTAGAATTGGGCATTAAGATTGAAGAATTTACTTATAATTATTTGAAAATCATATAAAGAGAGATGGCAATTCTTTTTCTAGGTAGGAAGCCTATTGGAAATGATGATGGTAAGCATACTGGTGATGAGAAAGCAAGCCCAGAACATTCCTAGAAGCATGTGGGAACACTTGGTATCTCCCGCAACCCTCTGCTTCAAATAAACAACTAGCTTTTCTTGGACCTATGGATAAGACTGTTCTTTAGGAATGAACTAGGGAGCAGCTATCTGAATAAGTGATTTAATGATGTTACGCTGTTGGAGTATATTCCCTATCTGTTGACTCGTGCCAAAGATGCCATTAATAAAGCTTTATTCTTTTGATTCTTATTAAAATACAAAGTTCTCAGGATCTCAATTTCCTTACCTTTTAACTTGATCATTTTAGAATAGATAGTCTATAAAAGTGGCTTTAATTCTGAAGTATACATTTTTTTAAAGCACTCCTGGAATTATTTCAGGCTGTAATCAGTTAAAATGATCATTTAGTATATGTTTGTTATTGAATGAATGCATTTACATCTTACTGCAAATAAATTATACGTCCATACTTAAAATCAGGCTTTACTACAGAGCAAGGAAAGAGTCTATAAAAGATCTAATTCTTCTCCAGGAATCCAATAAATATATCTTGACAGATTATTTTGGATAAGACACCATTTCAGTACTAGGTTGCTTAGTAGTAATACAAGTTGCAGATGGTGTCTGCAACTTGGAGACTAAGAACAAAAAAGACAAGCTTAGGCCAGCGCAGTAGTTCATGCCTGTAATCCCAGCACTTTGGGAGGCCGAAGTGAGTGGATCACTTGAGGTCAGGAGTTCTAGACTACCTTGGTCAACATGGTGAAACCCCGTCTCTACTAAAAATACAAAAATTAGCTGTACATGTTTGTGCATGCCTATAGTCTCAGCTCCTGGGGAGGCTGAGGCAGGAGAATTGCTAGAACCCGGGAGGTGGAGGTTGCAGTGATTCGAGATCATGCCACTGCACTCCAGCCTGGGTGACAGAGTGAGATACCATTGCAAAAAAAAAAAAAAAAAAAAAAAAAAAGACAAGCTTTACCCACTTCATAGTTTTTCTCGAACTCCTGACCTCAAGTGATCCACCTGCCTTGGCCTCCCAGAGTGCTGGGATTACAGGCATGAGCCACCGTACCCAGCCAAATAAATATGTGTGTTAATTAGCCTTGATATATATTAGCCTTATTTCTCTTTGATTATATTTAATACCTAGATCATCTATATCTGGTTGCATAATGTAGCCTGAATAAAAGGAAAGAGGAAATATGAAAAAAATAGCATCTATTGAGGGTTTAATATAGTGCTAATCACCTCATATAGACATTTTCATGTAATCATCGTAGTTACTCTATCAAATAGATACTATTATTATATCTTTTATAGATAAGGAAACAGAGGCTCAAAGAAGTAATGTAACCTGCCCAAAGTCACATACCTAGAGCCAGTATTATGATATTAGATGGTCTTACTCTAGAACCAATAGCTTAACCATTACTCTAGAGGAAAAATCATTCATTGGGTGCATATCATATGAGCTGCAATGTTACCTAACTCACACAGAGAAGAGAGTCATTTCTTTTCAAGAAACTGCAGGTGATATTTACAGTTCCAAGAATAGTTTAGGTAAATTTTGAATGACAGAGTTTCATTTGGCTTCTTAGCAAGGTAATCTTTTAATTTTGGAAGGGCTTTTTGGAAAGCAGTTCCCAGAGATGATCCTGGAGTGGTCCTGGTAAGATTAACCTGTGTTCAAGTCTTGGTTCTGTTGCTCAAATGTATGCACATTTGGGTAGCATTCTATTTTATTCCTTTATCTATAAAATGGGACCAATGCTCATGGAGGTGTGGTGATTAATAGAGTTAATATATATACTCAGTGGCCTATAAAAGCATGGTGCAAATAAGTAGATTCAATAGTAGTATAGAGATAATCAAGAGAAGCCATTGTCATATTTTCACTTCTTAGTACAATGACACATCTAGTTTGTATATCTGGACTACATTAGGATTATCAGATCTTTGACCAAATAAGATGCTTGATAAAAGTTTAAACATGAATTAAAAGATTGATCAAAGACCATGGACAGGCTATTTCTGGAGAAGGCTAAGATCTAATCCTTCTCTAGCAATCCAATAAATATATCTTGACAGATTATTTTGGATAAGACACCATTTTAGTACTAGGTTGCTTAGTAGTAATACAGAGATGGCCTCTGCATCTTTGCAGAATAACTAGCTCAGAAAAAGTCTTTCCAGAGCTGAGATTTCAAGGTTTCCATCTCAAAAGCCTACTTCATTCTGGATTGCGCTCAGCCATCATTCTTTCCAGTTCACCTTCAGCTCCAAAAGCTCACAGCAGCATTATTTCACAGTGGGCTTTCCATTATGTGCCGACTGCACTTGATCCTGGAGAAGAGCACTTTCCAGGACTTTTCCTAGAGTCCTAGCAATACAGGTCATCAAAAACAAGGTCTGATTTTCCAAAGTCAATATTTAGGAATACTTTTTGCTCTTGGTCACTTCAAAAATCCACCAGGTAACTATAATGGTTAAAATTATTCCTTTTTCCTAGTAAGGAACCCTTTTTGAGATTGGATCTTTATGCATATTTTGCAGAGAGTGTCTAAGGGAGACTCAACTAAGCTCCATAGCTGCTATGATTGTGAATAGTTATGAGACTATTGACATGAATTAGTGATGCATTCCCACAGCCCTTCACTCCTTTATGGTTGAATTTCAGTGGATGCCTGGGGGCTCTTCTGCCTTAAGAGATCCTGTGTCAGAGCCCTAGGATTTCTCATCAGTCAAAACACCTTCAAAGTTTGAACTAAATTCACACAAAATTAAATGCTGCCTACTGGAACTATAATTGGTTATGACGTGTCTTCTCTGCAGTGATTCTTGACAGCTTTGAACGACTTTATGTCATTACCTTCTGAGGCTTTGCAAACCAAATGTATCATTTGTACAAAGCAATGCCAGGGCTTGGTTGCCTTAAACATTCAGAAGCAACTAACTGATACTAGACTCTTGACTTCTAGTACATAATGGATCATTATGCAATCTACAATGAAGCCCAGAGTGCAAAATATAAATTTGAGCTTTTAAGATGAAAATTAGGCACACAGGTTTTCTAGAGAGAAAAGTATTTAGGATCTACTTATTGGCATCTCAGACATGAATCCATCTGTTTGCTGAGTGCGTTGCTCTCCACTGTGGTGCCTTGGCATTTGCTTCACATGTTTCTTCTGATGTGCAAACCAAGCAGTAATAGCATAATATTGATCTCCATTTTTTTTTATACACCTAGGAGTGAACTCTTCCATTCATTTACCATTTTTGCAAGCCTATAATTACAATGCTTTGATATTTGGTAAAGTAAATGGTGCAGCAGAAATTATATGTTAATGGTTTCCCATGATTTAAATATTTAATATTCTAGGTTTTCTATACTTGAATGAGATTACATGAGAATATTCTATTTCTTTTAAAAATCTTTGTGTAATAGTGTAAAATTTCTTTTTGTTCTTGGCTAAGTTAGTTAATGTCTCATATATTTGATGAAACCTAATTCTAAGAGTGGTGGAATTTTTGATACCTCTCCTTTATTTCCAAGACAGGCAATATTACATAGTAATTAAGAATGTGAACTCCATACTGGAGTTTGAATATTGGCTTTACCACTTAATAATGATGTGACCTCATTAATAAAATGGGAAAAATGATAATACTTACCTCCCAGAGTTCATTTGTTCTATAAACACTTGTTGAACACCTTCTGTGTGCCTGTGTCAGAAAATTTGCTAACCACCCAGAATACAAAAGTGAACAATACCACGTGGTCACTGCCTTTCTGGGATTTGCAGTCTTACATGGGAATGTTGTCTTCTGATTACCAGTTCACTTGGCTTTATTCTAAATTTAGTACTGAATTTACATTTGTTGAATTATTTAGTCTCTGATAATCGATAACAAATTTGACTAAATGAATATGAATATACTAATTTATTTACACAATGGGTTGGGAAATTTATAATGTATAAATATTAAATTTAAAAGGACACAAAGTTCAAAGCATGATGTGGGCCATTAAATAAAAACAAACCAATAAGCAAACAAAGGACGGAAAGAGAAATGAATGTCATAGGCAGGAGAGTAGATAAAATGTAAGAGAGACTTGTATGGGGTATTATGAGTGAGATGAATTTTCAATTTAATATACAGAAAAATTATGAAGAAAGCATTCAAAAGTGTTGAGGTCTATGTTATCATGGCAAAATTAAAAGCAAATATTCTTCTGACCTTAAGAGGCTGAAATTAAAAGAAAACTTCAGTAGTCAAGAACACAGAGAATCTAAAAGTAAATCTTTTCATTTTAAGCAACATATTTGAAAACAAAGGAATGGAAATATCTGTTTGATGAAGGAAAAAATTATAATAAAGTAAGCATTCCACAAATTCAGTTGTTTCATACATTTGCAGTTAAAGAATATTAATCATTAAAACAATTTTATACAGCTCTTTAAGCTATCAAAACTCTTCCCCTTTCTCCCAGTCTGGTCTCCACCAAATAAGCTGAATGATA
The DNA here is from genome assembly GCF_000001405.40 of Homo sapiens. Lineage (NCBI taxonomy): Eukaryota > Metazoa > Chordata > Mammalia > Primates > Hominidae > Homo > Homo sapiens. Next base: position 75,672,903 of record NC_000012.12, on the reverse strand, counting down.
TAAAGGTGGTCCCTGAATTCTTCAGACTTTGTACCATTTTATTATGTATATACAAAATTATTTTTAAAAATAATTTTAAAAATCAAATAATAGGCCTCAAAGGGACTTACTTTAAAAACAATTCTGTTAATTGCATTATAAAGTAATTTTAAGTGAATCAAGCAACTTACTATTTAAAAATATTCCAGAGTGAATTATATTGACAAGTTAAATTTTAAGTGAATAAATTTATGTCCTATATACCTAAGGGTTAGAGGAATAAACCACTAAACTCTTTTGAACATTAATTGGAGAATGATGACTGTAAGTTGCAAATACTGTATGTTATGTGTATTTGCAGCAATACATGTTGCAAATATGTTTGAAGAGTCTGTCTTTTCTAGAAGCACTCTGCCTGTCTTGCTTCTGTGGAACTGTTCTGATAGGAAAGAGCCAAGCAGTTTCAAACCCTCAGGGGACCTCAGGTTTCCTCTTCCACCACCTTCTCCTCTCTCCTTGCACAGACATGCAGGCCTCACTAATTGGACTGCTTTTGCAGAAAGGAAAGTCTGCAGCCTCCCAGATATCAATTACAAACCCTGGTTAGGACTGTGGCCTCTGCTAAACTCCATTAATTCTCCCAGCTGCTTAAGTATCATCAATCAAAAAAAAAAAAATCAAATTGTGACACTGAATTGTAAACAGTTTTTAGCTGGGAAGATATGGGTATGGTGATGTGATTGTTGACAGTCGGTGTCATAGGATTATGCATGCTATAAGCATAATTAGATATACAGAGTACAAAATTGAGAGAAACAAGCTCAAAAACACTATTTGTTGATACTTTGAAAGTCTGGAGGGATGCTTGGTTATGTGTTGTTTTGGGCATTAAAATAGCTATGAAAACACAAATCCAGAGGATCTCAATCAACCTTTACTATTAGGCAAGGAAGATGGTAAGTTTGTGTGCTTCTCTAAAGTAATATATGAAAGACTATAAAATGAGCCATATCCTGTTGGGTGAGCAGAAAGCTTTTGAAACTCCCTGAGAATCTCTATGAAGAATTTTGTAACTAGCAGAGATTATGTAGAGAAAGCCTCCAGTGAAGATTAATTTCAAGATGTTCTTCAATGGATTTTCAAAGTGATTTCATGCTGGCAAATGTACAGGTAAAAATTGTCTGTTCGAGTGCCATTTAAGCTACCTTAAATGAAGTTACAGGCAGAAGCTGTGCACGAATTAGACATAAATACATATTTTGCAGCCATGTGGCCTTCCTCCAAACTCTGATGAATAAATGAGAATACTTCAAGAAAGTGACATTTTGGTGGTGGGGGGTTGGGGCGGCGGAAATGCTGTAATAATTTTTTCTGTACTGGAAACAAACGCAGAGAGTCACCACAATAATCTACATGTAGTAAAAATGCATACAATACTTTATAGATGGTGTTAGTTTCTCAATTTCAGTGATACTTGGGTCTTCAAATTGCGTTATAAAATGCAGTGAGCCATTTCAGAGAGACTCAATGGATAAGTAATCTTGAACGAACTGGGAGATGATAAAAGTACAGGAAGTTTTTACCGTTGGCCCAATATTTAAAAGTATTAGGTATGGAATGAGGAAGGTTTCAGAAAGGAAATTGGGACTATTATTTTTGGCAAAATGATATAAGGTTTTAAAAAGCACCAACTCTTAGCCCTTTGCCCACAGTTCAAGGAGGTTCCCAATATGGTCCAACCTACTTCTCCAATTCTGTCTACCTGCATGTACCCTCTACCCTAAATGTGTCCCACTCGGTAGTGAAAGAAATTGTTTATCATCTGTTGTACATGCCCCATAATTCTCACCTCCATGTATTTGCTTATAAACATTCCATTGTGTATCTCTATATGCCCAACCTGCTTTTCAAGACCCAATTCAGTGCACTTCCACCATACATTCTTGATAGATCATCCCCAGCTATTCCCTGTAGTTTAGCATGTAGCTTCTACCTTGTTTTAATTATTTGTGAGCACATCTTACCTACCTGGACCAGTCTTCTCGAGGAGAGGTCTTTCTCTGATTGATAGTCCCAGCCTTTATATTTACTATAACAACAATAATTACAAAAAACAGACTCTTAATAAATATTTACTAAATAAATGCTTGAACTACAAATTAAAAGGTTTGTTACAAAAAAGATTTTGGGGAAAATGCAAATGTATCATTGGTCCTAAATTAAAGTAATTATTTCTTGCTTTGTAACAAATTATGACAAAATTTAGCGGCTTAAAACAACACACATTTATTATCTCGCTGTTTCTGTGGATCAGGAATACTGGCACGACTTAGCTGGATTCTCTGAGATAGAGTCCCTCGTAAGGCTGGAATCAATGTGTTGGTGAGAACTGAGCTCTCATCAGAAGGCTTGAGTGTGAAAGGCTGTTAGACTGAGGGCCTGAGTTCCTTGCTGTCTATTGGCTAGAGACTGTCTCCGTTTCTTGACACATGGGCTTTTCCAAAATCACAGCTTTTTTCATCAAAGCATACATGCTGAGAAAGCAATAGGGAGTCTGCTAACAGACTTGGCCAGAAAGCAATAGGGAGTCTGCTGACAGACTTGGCCAGAAAGCAATAGGGAGTCTGCTAACAGACTTGGCCAGGTGCGGTGGATCACACCTGTAATCCCAGCACTTTCAGAGGCCGAGGCAGGTGGATTATCTGAGGTCAGGAGTTCGAGATCAGCCTGACCAATATTGTGAAACCCCCGTCTCTACTAAAAATATAAAAATTAGGCCGGGCACGGTGGCTCATGCCTGTAATCCCAGCACTTTGGGAGGCTGAGGCGGGCGGATCATGAGGTCAGGAGATCGAGACCATCCTGGCTAACACGGTGAAACCCTATCTCTACTAAAAATACAAAAAAAAATTAGCCAGGCGTGATGGCAGGCGCCTGTAGTCCCAGCTACTCGGGAGGCTGAGGCAGGAGAATGGTGTGAATCCGGGAGGCGGAGCTTGCAGTGAGCCGAGATCGCGGCACTACACTCCAGCCTGGACGACAGAGCGAGACTTCGTCTAAAAAAAAAAAAAAAATATATATATATATATATATATATATATATATATATATATATATATATATATAAATTAGCCAGGCGGGGTGGCGGGTGCCTGTAATCCCAGCTCCTCAGGAGGCTGAGACAGGAGAATTGCTTGAACCCAGGAGGCAGAGGTTGCAGTGAGCCTAGATTGAGCCACTGCAACCAGCCTAGGCGACAGAGCAAGACTCTGTCTCAAAATAAATAAGTAAATAAAAAGACAGAAGTCACAATCATGTAACCTAATTATGGAAGCGACATCCCACCTACCTTTGCCATATTCTGTTGGCTAGGAGTAAGTCATAGGTCCTACTCATATTCAAGTGGAGAATATTACACAACTACGTAAATGTGAGGAGGTGGAGATCAGTGGGGACTGCCTTACAAGGTTTCTTGCATACCATGCTTTTTAAGAGTTCTTTGTCTTTCCTTACACTGTAACTTGCCTTGTATCAAACTTCTGAGTTTACAAAGCATGTCAATTATTTGAGGCTTAGATCAAGTGCTAGCTTCTAGTAAGATCTTCCTTGATTGTACATGTTGAGGTTAATTTCTCCTTTGATTGTATTATCCATAATACTTTGTACCCTTTTTCATGAATTAGATTTTATTTTGAATTCTTTAGGATAAATATGGTCAGCTTGCCTTTACCTGCCATAATTGCTTTCCTTATAGCAGGAGGAAAAGCATACAACATTAAGATTAGCACATTTCTTTCTTTCTTTCTTTCTTTTTTTTTTTTTTTTTGAGACAGAGTCTCACTCTGTCACCAAGGCTGGAGTGTAGTGGCAGGATCTCGGCTCACTGCAACCTCCACCTCCTGGGTTTAAGGAATTCTCGTGCCTCAGCCTCCTGAGTAGCTGGGATTATAGCATGCGCCACCACGCCCGGCTAATTTTTTTGTATTTTCAGTAGAGACGGGGTTTCACCTTGTTGGCCAGGCTGGTCTCACACTCCTGACCTCAAATGATCCACCCACCTTAGCCTCCTAAAGTGTTGGGATTACAGGCATGAGCCACCCCTCCTGGTCAGCAAGTTTATTTTCTAAAGTCTATGTCTCTTGACAATGAATAATACTACAGCTTGAGTGAAAAGATAATAGATAATGAGTGATAAGTTTCAAAGAATCTACTAGATCTGAACCAATATTGTCAATTATCTTATAACATTTAAGATTAAAAGAAATAACCCACAAGAGACATCTGGCACAGTGCCTGCATACAATGGTAGTTCATTCAAGGATTGATGCAGTTGTCACCTTCTTTTTAAATTTTCTTTTCCCCGCATCTTAGCACCCTCTTTTTATATAAACTGTTTGAAAATGCTGCTTGAGGTCCGGGCATGGTGGCTCACACTTGTAATCTCCGCCCTTTGGGAGGCCAAGGTGGGTGGATCACCTGAGGTCAGGAGTTCAAGACCAGCCTGACCAACATGGCGAAATCCCGTCTCTACTAAAAATACAAAAATTAGCCAGGTATGGTGGCGCATGCCTGTAGTCCCAGCTACTTAGGAGGCTGAGTGGGGAGAATCACTTGAACCCAAGAGGCGGAGGTTGCATTGAGCCAAGATTGTGCCATTGCACTCCAGCCTGGGCAACAAGAGTGAAACTCCATCTCAAAAAAAAAAAAAAAAAATGCTGCTTGAACTATAATACCAGGATTAAAATCACTTATTTAATTATTTAGTGTATTCAAACAATTATTGAGTATTTTCTAATGCCATTACAGACACAGACATTAGAGATACAGCAAGAAAAAAATTGAAAAAAGTAACTTTTCTTCTATTGGAGCTTGTATTAGGTTGGTGCAGAGGTAACTGTGGTTCTTGCCATGGAAAGTAGTGGGAAAAACTGCAATTACTTTGCACCAACCTAATATTTTAGTTAGGGGAGACTGATAATAAGCAAGTATGGCAGATAGTGATAAGTACTATAAAGAAAAATAAAGTGAGGAAGGGGATAAAATGATGAAGTGGGTACTATTAATATTTTGTACAGGATGATGAACTGGTATTTGAGCATGAACCTGAAGAAGTGAGAGATTAAGCTATGTGAATATCTGATAGAAGAGCGTTCCAGAAAGAGAGAAGAACAAATACAAAGGCTTTATAGAGGGAGCGTGATTGTGTTGGAGGAACGAGGAAACCAGCTGATGAGGAACCATTGAAAGTTCTCAGCAGAATAATACAGTCTGATAAATATTTCTAAAGGATCACTGCAGCTGTTGTATAATAAGTAGACTGTAGGAGGCAGGGATATAAGCAGAGAGACCAGTAAGTAAGCTACTGCACTATTCCAGGTTAGAGGTGATCAAGGTTTGAAGTAGAACCAATAGAATTTGTTGACTGATTGGATATGGGCTGTAAGAGAAAGATGATGTTACTATTATCTGAGATGGGAAAGACTTTGGGAGGAGCTGGTTCAGCAGGGGGAAAGATCAGTAATTTAGTTTTGGATATGCTAAGTTTGAGATGCCTATTGAACATTGAAATTGAGATGTCAAGTGGGAGGTTAGCACTATAGAGTTCAGGAGAGAGGTTGTGTTCTGAAAATATAGATTTGGGAGTCATCAGTATGTGGATAGTACCTAAGAAATCAATAACTGAATGAAGACAGAGAAGAGAAGGTCCTAGGGCTGAGCTCTGCAGCTCCACAGTGATGAGAAGGCCTCTTTCATCTGGAATGCTGCATCCTGTTTCACTGATTCTTTGGCAGAGCTACAAACCTTTTTTCTCCAGAATAGGACTCACCGCCTACTCAATCTGCTGAAGGGAGGCACTTTATCCTAGAAAAGCAGAAACAAAGTATGGTGAGAAGCAGCCTGATGTGTAATCCTTAACCGAGGGGATCTGTAAACACCTTTCTAAACTAAATTATGCAGAGTTTCTGTGAGATTTCTGTAGATCAGCATCAGGGTCTGGGGGCCCCTACAGGATGGTTGAAATGGAAATGAGCCCCGATCCGTCTTTTGGGGTCAAAGGGGTCATCCTGTCAGCTGAACTCCTTCCTCTTCACTTTTCACTGGTAGAATTTCAGAAAACTAAAAATTGTAGATAATAAAAAGGTTTAAAAGTAGCAATAAAACAATAAAAAAGAACAGTTAAATAAAGATAAAATGATACAAGAAACTAGGTTACATAAATGAACCCAACCCCTCCCTGCCACCAAAAAAAAAAAAAAAAAAAAAAAAAAAAGCAGAAGGCAGCAAGCAAACCATGAGGTAAGAACAACTAAGATAAAGGAAAATCTGAAACTAAAGGTCAGAGAGAATAAAAGAATAATCCAAACAAGCTAAAGTGATAGAAAAGAGAGTAAACAATGATTTCAAAGTCCAGGAGGTTAACTAGTCAATATTGACTAAATTAAAAATCAGTAGCACAAGTTCCAAAGATCAACTGAGAGAGTCTCTTTAGCTAAGGCCCAAAAGCCGCAAATAAGTTTTTTCTTCTGTGGCCTGGGATCCACGGGCAGCTGTCCCCTCAGCAGGTTAGGGGCCTGACTTTCACTCCGCACCTCTTCTCTCTGATTCTGGTATCTTCTCTCCTGGGTTCAGTTGCAGACAGGCTCCTGAGTCTCTACCACAGGAATGTCTGTGCTAGCCATCTTTCTCAGCTGTGACTCTACCCTCTGGCTGTTACTGATAGAGGAGAGGGAAGCACTTGGCCCAAGTTGGATCAATCAGAGTCTCTTTTTTGAAATCTGGATTTGTTATCAAGACTCACTCATTTAGGGATGGCCTCTTTAATCATAATATTAAATAATTAATATTTGTTGAAGATTTATGTGGTGAACATTGATCTTTATATGTGTTTTCCAACTAAATTTTTAAGAACCTTATGAAATCAGTATTATTATTGAAGAGGAAACTGAGGCCCAAGAGGTTAAATGACTTTCCCAGTGTCACACAGCCTGTAGATGGTAGAATTAGGATTTAAACTCACCTCTGTCTGACTCTGGAGCCTGTTCTTAGCCTCATGTAATAGTGCCTCTTTTGAAGAAAGGAGATATAAACTTGGAAACTGTGGGATCACTGTCTTTTGTCCACCACGTGAACAGAGAGCAAAGAATGAATTGACGTTTAAATATATAGAGGAGCTGCAATGGACTGAATGTTTATGTCCTCCTAAAATTCATATGTTAAAATCGTAACCTCAAGATGATGTTATTTGAAGGTGGGGCCTCTGGGATATGATTATGTCATTACAGTGGAGCCCTCCCTAATGGGATAAGTGCCCTTATAAAAGGGACCCCAGAGAAACCCCTTGTCCCTTACCCCATGTGAAATTACAGCTATCTATGAAAAAGGGAGTGCTCACCAGACATCAAATCTGCAATGCCTTGACCTGGGATTCTTAACCTCCAGAACTGTGAGAAATAAATTACTGTTGTTTATAAGCCACCCAGTCTGTGGTATTTTGTCATAGCAGCCTGAATGGACTAAGATAGCAATCAAGATGAGAAAGGGAAATTCCTAAGCTTCTCCTTTGAGTTTGGGCTCCGTTTCTACTACCACGCATTGTGAGCCACCCCTGCTTTTCCATAATATATTCCTTCCCACATTTTTTTTTTTTTTTGAGATGGAGTTTTGCTCTTGTTGCCCAGGCTGGAGTGCAATGACATGATCTTGGCTCACTGCAACCTCTGACTCCTGGGTTCAAGCGATTCTCCTGCCTCAGCCTCGCAAGTAGCTGAGATTACAGGCATGTGTCACCATGCCTGGCTAATTTTGTATTTTTAACAGAGACAGGCTTTGTGCATGTTGGTCAAGCTGATCTCAAACTCCCGACCTCAGGTGATCCACCCGCCTCAGCCTCCCAAAGTGCTGGGAATACAGGCATAAGCCACCACACCTGGTATTTCCCCTTTTTGTTTTAAACTAATTCAGTTATATTTCTGGAACTTGCAACCACGAATCCTAACTAGTATTGATGTGAGTTATGGAGGACCTCAAAGCTCCAAGCTTCCCTTATAAGCCAGGCTTCTTTTGATTGCTAAAAAATAGTGGCCTCTTGGATTTGGCTCTCGATCTTTTTTCTCTGCTACCCACTTTCTAAACTGTAGCTTCTTTGAGTACAAGGATAATTAATAGGTCTTTTTTGTGCTCCTAAAACACTAGATGTTTTGCAAATGCTAGGTCTCAATAAATTCTTGTTTAGATAAGTTAATTCATATGATTATGTATTTCCTTACACAAACGTGACACCTTCCTAAAGTAAACTTGGGAATGATTAAAAGGCTATCTTTCTAGAATGAAAAGGTCACATGTTACATGATTTTATTTATATAAAATATCCAGAATAGGTACATCTATAGAGACTGAAAACAAACATTTGCCAGGGACTGGAGAGAGGGGAGAATGGAGGAACTGCACAATGGGTCCAGGGTTGTATTTCGAGGTAACGAAGATGTTTTGCAACTATATAGAGGTCATGATTATACAACACGTGAATGTAATAAATCGGTCTGAATTGTTCAGTTTATAATGGTTGATTTTTGTTATGTGAATTTCATCTCAATTATAAAAATATTAACAAATTTCTATTTTCTGAAAAAAAAGTTACCTTCCATGTAGGTGGTAATCATCTGGGCTTGAGCTTATTGGTTTGAGGATGGTAGGTCAATTCTGGGCATGGGAGCAGGGCACTCCCTGACCATTGTCATGTTACAATGATTCCTTCATCTGAAATATAGGAGTCAGAGAACTCTTCACAAGAAGAGCATGGCACAGCAAGGCTTACTTTGTTCTATTCCCACAAGATAATCTATGTGAATTATAACCAAGGATTCGAAGAGAATGAGGCTGTTCTTACAGGATTCGTGAAGTCTCTAGAAGTTTTATGGGTTTGCTATTTTGTAATATCTCTATTGGCTAGTCAAAGCACACCTCATAGTTCCCTAAGTGGGAAAGGAAATATACATGTTTTTGTCACCACTGGAAATCATCCGAGATATAAAATGGGAGGTAAGTTGACGTCAAGGAAGGATCCAATTGTGTGTTCAATGCTTGAAAATGGCAATCTTCTGTCTATTGGCCCTTCTAGGATGAAGATAGCCCGAAAACTTGCCTGGAAGTTTAACAACAACAGAGGAGAGCTCCTTTATCATCAAAAGCCAAGAAAGCAATGCAGGTGATGACTTAATGTCATCTTACATAAAATATAAAGAGACTTTCTAGGAAAACCCTACTTTTGGATGCTTGTCTCTTAGAGTTCTAAACTTTTCACCCATTTAATTATAATAGGAATTATTTATTACTTTTTGAAACTTATGTGGAAAAAGGACCATCCCTGATTTGGGGACCAAAATTCTCCTACAGTTATTCCCTTGTTAGTGTTCTTGGAAATTCCTTATTTACAAAGTTCAGGTGGCTTCTAATTTCTGGCCAAGCTCAGATTTATGAAAGAAAATAATCAAGATGAAGCATAGATTCTTAGAAATAGAAAGCATGCAACTTCCTTCTTTTTGGGAAAGGATCCAGAAAATGAGGTTCAGAGAGGTTGACAGGCTTTTGCTGGAGCAGAAGAGAAATAATGGCCAGAAATGTCCACTTTGTGGGTCTTGATGCCACAATGCCCTAGTAGATCATGGAGCCCAGAACTTGGGTCTCTTGGTACTAGATTTTTTTTGCCTGTTTTAATTGGGAGGAAATGAAAATATTTGAGAGGCTTAATGTCATCTTTACTATTTTAAAAAGCACAGTTTTGTGCCCACAATTCAACAATATTCATCAGATCATAGACCCAAGGAGCTTTGAAATCGTTTCAGTGTTCACCCTGCCCAATGCTTTGTCTGTAATATCACTTCTCACATGCTGTTTCTTCTAAGAGGTTGTCTGGTCTCTGCTTTAACCTTTGGAGGGACAGGAAACTCATCACCTCTTGAAGTAACACATTTTATTTGCATGTGTTTGTGTTTATATTCTCTCTCTCTTTGTTTCTGTTTCTCTCTATAGAGTGCCTATATTTCATAGTCTGCTTATGCACATATTTCATAGTCTGCTTTTTTGCAATTGACATCCCACACATACTTTTCATATTGATACAAAGTCTTAATATGGTTGATATGGTTTGGCTTTGTCCCCACCCCAAATCTCATCTTGTGGGAGGAACCCAGTAGGGGGTAATTGAATCCTGGGAGCAGGTCTTTCCTGTGCTATTCTTGTGATAGTGAATAAGTCTCATGAGATCTGATGGTTTTAAAAAGGGGAGTTTTTCTGCAGAAGCCTTCTTCTCTTGCTTGCCATCATGTGAGACATGCCTTTCACCTTCTGCCATGATTGTGAGGCTTTCTCAGCCACGTGGAACTGTGAGTTCTCCATTAAACCTCTTTCCTTTGTAAATTGCCCAGGCTTGGGTATGTCTGTATTAGCAGTGTGAAAATGGACGAATACAGTGGTAATTGCAAGTGGCTTCATATACGATATAATTTCCCTAATAAAAATTTATGCAAACATGACTTAAAAGTTTTTACTATTATAAGTAGAATTCAATACTATTTTGGTTTGGGAAAGTTTGGTTATTAGATCATAAAGAATTTAAGATTTAACTTTTACTCTTTGGCTTTAAATGTATACTCCAGAGTAACATTGAATAAATCAAATCTGTCTTCCACCAGACAGTTCTTTTCAGTGTTTTTAAAAAAGCTATCATGTTCCTCTTAAAATGTGTCTCTTCCAAGGTAAACATCCTCAGCTCTTTCCATCATTCCTTACAAGTTGTGGTTTCCAGACCCTTCACAAGATTGTTTGTTCTCCTCTGGATGGGCTCCAATTTGTCAAAGTTCTTTGTAAAATATGGTGCCAGAATTAATTACTGTAAGAACAATAACCGTAATAATAATAACCACCATTTATTGACTGCACACAATGTTCCAGGAACTGTGCTATAGACTTAGCTCTTTTAATCCTCACAAAACCCTCTAATATTGTATGTTATTATCTTTATATTTTTAGACAAGAAAACCAGTTTTAATACGTCAGCTGACTTATCCAAGGTCACACAGAAAGGAAGTGGCAAAGCTAGGATTAAAACATGCTCTGTGTTCTGAACCATTTTATAATGCTACAGAATTTCCTGGCTATGCAAAATTTAGGGCTGAGATATTAAATTTATGTGAGAATACCTTAAGATTTCATTATCTTGTCAAATGCTTTTCATACTTATGAAAAGTATGATAGAGCCCAGTTCTTCCAAACCAATTTATCCATTTGTCAAATATTTATTGAGTGTCTACTTCATGCCAGGCACAATTTTAGGAGGTAACAATATTGAGAGATGCAAAGTAGACAAGGTTCCTTCTTTCATAGGGCTGGCATTCTGTTGAGAGAGAAAAACATTCTGGAAATAAACAAACAAATAAATAAAGATGGTAATTTCAGATAGTGATAAAGTGATATAAAGAAAGTAAGACAAAGTAATGTGCTAGAAAGTGTCAGTGTTAGGTTATCAGGGAGAGACAACGTGAGATTTGGTGACCAAGGGAGACCTCTTGGAGGAGGTGACCTCTGGTCTTAGACTGAAATGGTGAGAAGGAACCAATCATGTAAAGATCTTGGGGAAGAACATCTAAGTCTCAGGGAATGGAAAGGGCAAAGTTTCTGGCACCAGAATAAGCTTAGTGAGCTCAAGAAACCAAAAGCCATATATGGCTAAAAGTAGAGTAAGTGATAGAAGAGGGGAGAAGGATAACTTCAGAGATACAAGCAGGGAAAGATCACTTGAGGTCCTGTAGTCCATGGCAAGAATTTTGGATTTGTTTTTAAGTGTAGTGGGAACCCTATGCCATGTTTTATGCAGGCAAGTGGACTGGTCCAAGTAATCTTTTAGAAAGATGACATCGCTACAGTGTAGAGAAAGGATTATAAAAGGCAAGGATGAAAGCAGGGGAATGAGTCAGGAGGCTATGGCAATGGTCTGGTTAGAAATGATGGTGGGTCTGATCAGGTGGCAGCTGATCTATTTGTGACTCATATCAATGGGAAGAAATGGATACGTTCAGAAAAACTGAAAGAAAGGTGGACAGAATTCCTGGTAAATTGAATGGAGTGCGGTGAGAGAGAAAGAAATTGATTTAACACTAGATTTAGAGGTTAGTAAATGTGCTGTATGTAATGTGTGCTAGGTATAGTATATACAGGCCATTTACATATATTAAGTGATTTAGTTCTCACAAGACTCCTATGATGTAGCTAGTATTCCTCCCAACTTGTCTCTGACAAAGAAACCAAGATTTAGAGACGCTTAATAACTTGCCTTAGGTTACGTAAGTAGTAAATCGGGAAGCCAAGATTTGAACCCAGGTGTGCCTGATATCAAAAGCAGTGCACATTTTTGTGTGACACAGCATTACCCCTGGAGCTCTGATAAAGATTGCATCTTGCCTATAAGGCAAGACAGAATTAGAGTCCCACAGCAAAACGTCTATTGAGTCACATGTGAGGACACGTTCCATCATCAAGGGGCTTGATTGATGTTGCCTGGCTTCTCTCTGGTTCCTTGAAGGACTATGTTTCAGTTCTGGAACCTCATGTTTAAGGGACGTAAGCACTTTGGGTGGAGTCAGAAGTAAATGAAATGATTAAGCCGATAGAGAAAATGACTTCTGAGAAATGATTAAAAGATTGCAGCTTAGCTCAGTGATGACTAAAGAGGACATCAGCCTATAAATATTTCAGGGGTGGAAATAGCAGGAAGGGGGGATTTTTCTGTAGAAAGGAGAAAGAAATTGCATGAAGGGACAGGCAGAGAATACAGTTCAGTTCCTGAGTCTGCTCTTTATGATGTTGGTGGCTTATCATGACTTTGAGTCTAAATTTTCTCATCTCAAAAAAAATGAGTTATGATTAAATGAAAAACAGTATCTCACTAGAAAGACATCAAAATCCCCATAAAACATTCTTTCATGCTTTTAACATTCATTTGATAAATACTTATTGACATGTACTTTGCATAAGATGCACAAAAGGGGAGGATTTGGGGCCAAAATGTGGATGTCCATTTGAACATTCTTGTTTTATAATAAAATATACATATTTTTATGAGACAAATATTATAAGGACAATTCCTTCACAACAATTGTCTAGCTGGAATCAGAATTATTCATGCACTGAAACATATCAGCTATTGTCATGTTCTGGAGTCTGGAGAGAGAGAAAGGGTAATGCTCGTACCATGCATCCCTATTGCCTGAATACTGCTATACTCTAAAGAACGGGGAGGCTTAAGTTTCAAACACAGGCTAGTGATTTCCTTGCATTTGCCACAATGTGTGTTTGTCTGGACATTTGTTAGTGAAATAAGAGAACACACTGCTTGATAACACAGGGACAACTGTCCAATACATTGGGTGCATTATCTTTCCATATACTATGAAAATTATATCTATCAAGCTGCAAAGTCAGAAAGCCTTGGTTTATCAGCTACATCCGGGCCGCACACAAAAGGTAAAGCCACTGAGGGAAAGCCTTCTTGAAAAGCACACCTGTCCTTTTCAGACATTTTTGAAGTATCATATTTGTTTTCAGATGATTTTGGCCTTCCGCCCTTGATTCTTTAGCTGGGTTGGGAGGCTGTCCTGTGGCCTGAAGGTTAAAGAGAAATACGAGTGAATGTGTCATCTTAATGGGCTTTGAATGCACTCCCAAATGACATGTTTTTTTCTTTTTTCTTTTCAGTCTTGCTTATAAAAGTTACACCTGCAAAAATGGGACTGAATCCAGTGAGGAAGGACATAACATTTTGCCTGAATGTGCAAAATATGAGTGGGGTGTTGTCTGTATCCCTGCAGGCTCCGAGCAGCCTAGTGGGTAAATGAGCGTTTGTTTCCTGTGCACCATCTTTGAGTTGAAAATGAGTCACACACTCGTGGAAAGAATAGTACTATCTTCTTTTGTCTAGCTCTGCATGCTTTTGTGGTTACTGAATTTGTCTTAATGGGAAGCTTGATTGTTTCTCTTTTTGAGGCAAACCATTAGAATTTATTTTTAATCTGGAATAAGATTACTTTAAATATATTATTCTCGATTCATAACTGGATTCACAGCCAGTGTATACAATTACAGAAAATTTATATGGGGCAAAAAAAAAAAAAAAATCTCTCAGGTTTATGTAGTCATCTGGAAGCATAAACCGATTCCTAAATGTTTAAACTAATTTACTTTGAAAATGATGATAATAACTGTAATTTGTTGAATGTCTACTTTGTACCAGCCACTATGCTATGCATTTTTAATAGATTATTCCTAATCCATATAACATGCCCAAAATGCAGGTATCAATAACCCCTTTTTATAGCAAAGGAGAGCAAGGGTCAGAGAGATTAAGTAACTTGCCAGAAGGCATAGAGCTGATCAGTGAGGGAACTTGTATTCATCTCCATTTATGTCTAACCTCAGGGCCTGGGCTCCCTCCATTATGACATCCTACCTCTCTGCAAAGAGCATTTGATGACAAATTTGCCTCAATTCTTATTACAAAGAGGTAGGTCATAAAGTAAAAAGACCAACAATAATTTCCTTTTATCTTTGTAAGAAATTGATTTCATAGGCTGGAAAATACTTTTAGTCTTCCCTGGATGTGCAAAGAGGCTCAGATACATTTGGATACTGGAGTAGTTTCCACGACTCAGGGGACCCTGATTCTAGTTTTATTTTATCCAGCTCTGCATAGCCTCGATTTTGAGACTCCCAGGTCCCAGATATCTGAGGATTCTGAGGCATACACTTATGAATTCTTACTCCATTACTGTGTTCTTCAAGAGATGGAGGGATAGCTTATGGCTCAGGCTTGCACAAGGATTTCCAGACTAATGGAAGAAGGAACAAAGACACCAGAGCAGATACATTTAATGAAAAAAGTAAAAACAGATAAATTTATCATAAGGAAAACATCTGAAAAGTGTCAGCAGAGGCTGTGGTATCTGAAATTATTGCTGGACTATCTGCAATGATAAATCATTATTTCAGATAATCTGACTGAATTGCTGGCATGCTAGGGCCCCAAACTAAGAGTCACAGCTTCAATTATGAAAGTCATTTTCAGACATTTTATGAATGAGGATTTCCTTTTGAAAACCAGAGGGGAATCAAGAGGGGCTCACTTCTAAGAAATTTACCATTTAAATTCTAGATTTTCATTGAGTCTCATTTATTTATTTATTTATTTATTTATTTACTTTCTTTCTTACTTACTTTGAGACAAAGTATCACTCTGTCGCCCAGGCCGGCGTGCAGTGATGCAATCTTGGCTCACTGCAACCTCTGCCTCCCAGGTTCAAGCTATTCTCCTGCCCCACCCTCCCAAATAGTTGAGATTACAGGCATGCGCTACCATGCCCAGCTAATTTTTTTTCAGGGGTGGGGTTTCACCATTTTGGCCAGGCTGGTGTTGAACTCCTGACCTCAAGTGATCCACCTGCCTTGGCCTCCCAAAGTGCTGGGATTACGGGCATGAGCCACTGTGCCCGACCCACTGAGTCTTATTTTTGCCTTTCTTTCTGCTCTATGGGCTGTTTCATGTTCACACAAGGGGCTTGTGGAGCCACCGAGGACCTGGGGCAAATGCCTGTTTGTAGAATTGTGGAAGAGCAGCATCTCCAGTCTGAGTATATCATACATCTCTGATTTTGATTGGTACATTATGGATATTAATTTGGATTACAGACATTTTTATTAACTAATTATAGAACATTAAAGGAAAAGAAAACCACATTTGATAGTCGAGGCAAATTTCTCAAAGAAAGTTGTTCATGACCATATCATACTGCAGCAAGCTATGCCTGATGTGTACATTACCTAGCAATTTGGCTTTCTCACATCTATCACCCCTGTGTTACTCCAGATGCAAATTGGAGAGAACTTCCATTTACCTGTTCTTCTATTTTCACAACTTGGCATTCACTTGCCCTGGCTCCCATGTCTGATTAAGGAGCAGACACCAGGCGAGCACAGCAAGCTGATGCAATGGGTAGAGCTGCTGCTCACCAGGAAATGAAAGAATTCCTTTCCATAACTGTCAGACAAGGGAAGGGAAGGGCCATGCTCAGCTGGTCCTAGCCCATTCCTGTGTGGTGGGTCACACCCTTCTTGCAGATGGCAAGGCCTACTCTCTTCCTCATCTGCCACATCTACCTTTTCTTCAGAGACACTTCTCAAGATACTTGTGTAGTTTTCATTGGCTACACCAGCCTTCTCTGATCTTTGACTTCCCTGGTTTCTCCAGCATGTTTTGCCAGGTTCTGTTCTCCATGAACACCTACCTGATCACTTTGAAGGTTGTCTCAGTTAGAATGCATCCAGTTACCATATCAGAAAACACAAATTAAACTGGCTTATGCCATAAAGAAGATTTGTTGGCTCACATAACTGGAAATTCAGAAGTGTATAGGTGTCAGGATTGGTTTGATCCAGTCACAAAATTGCATCACCAAGGACTTGGTTTCTGTCCTTTTCTCTGATACTCAGTGGTGAGTGATGCAGCTTTGTGCCAAAGCTGCTATGCTTTTGTCCCAACATGGCTGCCAACAACTCCCAGGTCTACACCCACTGCCTGAAAAACCTGTTACTATTTGACCCAAAACCTCAGGCAAATGCTCCCTCCTGCCTTGCAGCCCAAATATTTGTCTTGGGCCAGATGGTAAAAATACTCTGATTTTTTAGGCCCTAAGAGCATGCTTTATGTGTGGAGCCAGCCTGGAGTCAGCATCCCCTGTCCTCTTGGTTTGCCTCCATGGACAAAAACGTAGGTAAGATAGTGGGTCTGGGTGTTGGCAAGTCAACCTCAAGGTCCATTTAGTTAGTCAAGTGTAATCATTTGCCTATCCTACCCTGCAGGTTCAAAACTCTCCATCTCTAGGATTAATTTCAGCCCTGTTGGGATATATTAGAAGATGTGTCTTTACATTAAGTTTGGGTCTAGTTGAAAGTGGTTTGATTTCTGTTGCCACATACTGATTCTCATACAGGGATCTGCTTCCTGGTGACACTCATCCCTCATCTCCTTATCTGGGTTTCTTAGACTTCTCTATGACATGACTCTGATAACTCCCTGCCCACTACCTGGATCTCCTGGAGGGCTGGGGGATCGAGTTTAAAATACAAGAGTCAGTTCCTCTTCCACTTTTCGCTTCCAACACTTGCTAGGGGAGGCCTCTGACTTGGTCTTCAGAGATCATTGAAGATCATTGAAGATCTCTGAAGACCAAGGCAAAGGCCACCCCTAGCCTTTTGTCTTTTATCTTCTCTTTTTGCCAGTGAACTCCACCTCTCTGGTACCAATGTGGTTCCTGCTTTTATACCACACCACCGCAGTTTATCTCTGTGCCACCCCTCACCATCCCTACTTTTCATCTTTGCATCTTTCTTTTCTCAGCTTCATTTTTCTATTTCCTTTTCTGTCCTCATTGCCTTATAGATGCCTCTTTCAAAGCAAAAACCACTTTGAAAAACCATTTCCCTTCTGGTCGGCCACTGACTCATTTGAAACTCTTAAACCCCTACTGTATGCAGAACACATGTACTTGATACATATTGAGGATGAAGAAGCAGTTTGTGCAAAGAGTTACAATATAGAGATATAAAAGCATATAAGAGCTGTAGAAGAAAAAGGGGTTACATCTCACAAGGGGTGCTATGGGGAAGGCACAAAAGGTCAAGAATAACCCAACTTATTTGTGGTTTTGGGACTTTTCAGGGTGCTTGGCAATGTTGATGGAAAGATAACTGAAATTTTAGTTCATATAATGCCCTATGTGTCCCAAATTATTTCTTGGACATCTAATTTCTTTAACTGTATTGTATTGTAACTTCATTAAGGGCAGAGACAATTCTGTCAAATCAACCCCACTTTACTCCTAAGGAGCACATGTGTTTAAAGGCAGCTCAGTGCCTCATCAATAAAAAGTTTGCATCAAATGCTTATTGAACAAAAGAATAAATAATCCATGACCTGAGCGGAAGTTCATATAGCCTCTATTGAAAAAAATTCTATTTTTAGAGATTCACAGAAATTCAGGAGTGAAAAATACCTTAAGAGTTATTTGGTCTAGTAATTCCCAAATCTGGAGATATATTATAACTGAATAGGGGTGTGTTGGGATGGGTTGTTTTTAGAATGTAGACCCCTGACCTCTTCCCCAGACCAACTGAATTAGAATCTGTGTGTTTCGTGAACTAGAATCTGTGTGTTTTGGAAACTGTGGTCTAGCATTTACCAGGCCCTGCTGCTTCTGCTGGGCTGTCAGGTTTTGGGCCCACAAATGAAGTCTGACTTCATCTAGTGTCTGACAATTCGTTTTTTTCTCCATGAGATTGTAATAATAACACCTTTGCAAACAGGATATGCTGTCTAGGTGTCCCCGAGTCTCCAGCAATCTGGGATTATCTTTGATCTTAGTGGCTAAGGGAGGTGACTTGTGCCCCCTCCTCACATTTATGTGAGTGCCTGAAGGGAGTGGTGTTTGTCTGACTCTTCCTATGCTTGAAACTTTTCCTTCTAACTCTCCAAGCTCTAATTATCCCTCCAGTTTGCAGGGCTGTCCTCTTTCTCCCATTCTGCCCCTCACTGCTAACAAAAAATCACTAGAAAGGGTGCTTATAAAAGTTTGGGGAAAATTATCTAACAAATATGTATTGAGGATCATTCTGTGCCAGGCAATGAGCAGACAATAAATGTAAGCGCTTCACAATCCAAAAACAAAACAAAGCAAACAAACATGATCCTTACCATCACAAAGTGTAGAGTCATTGGCTGATGCAGATATTATTAACCCAATAGTTACTGAAAATATGTATAAAACCTCAGCTGATGCAGATGAAGCATCCAGAGTTGTTATAAAGGGGAGATACATGGTGCAATAAAAATAATAGTAAGAATTGACTTATTTGGCACTTAAGAAATGGCTTCCTCAAAGAAGTGATAACTAACATGAAAGCTATCTACAGGAATAGCACGTGAAAAGTTTTGTGACAGGGAGGGTGGGAACTAAAAAGAGACTAGTATGATGTACCTCAGAGAGAAAGTAGGAATGTGGTACGGTTGGGCCTGGTGAGGAGGATGAGCCTGCAAAAGAGACAGGAAAGACTGGAGGCAATTTGAGATGGGATAGCTGCACGAGAGCCAAGCAGGGAGAGAATTCAAGGAGGAGCTGATCAATAAGCCAAATGCTTGAGGGTCAAATAAATAAAGTGAGCCCTGAATAATTCCTATTGGATTTAGCGTCTTCAGGTCATTAATAGCCTACATAGCCAGGGCTGTTTTTGATGGTGTGGTGGAGATGAAAGTCAGATTGAAGTAAGTTGTGAGATGAATGTGTAGGGAGAACATGGAAAAAGAAAAAATAACATAGTGCTTTTGAGATCCTTAACTATGAAGGAGAGGAGGAAGATAAAGGGATGGCAGGGAAAGAGTGAAGTTGAAGGAACTTTTTAAAGATTGGAGTGTTTTTTGTTTTTTGAGATGAAGTATCACTCTGTCACCCAGGCTGGGGTGCAGTGGCATGATCTTGGCTCAGTGCAACCTCCATCTCCCAGGTTCAAGTGATTCTCCTGCCTCAGCCTCTGAGTAGCTGGGACTACAGGTGCGTACCACCATGCCTGGCTAATTTTTTGTATTTTTAGTAGAGATGGGGTTTCACCGTATTAGCCAGGATGTTCTCAATCTCCTGACCTCATGATCTGCCTGCCTTGGCCTCCCAAATTGCTTAGCTCCTATTTGAAAGTTAATAGAAAGGACCCAAATGGGAAATGTTAAATACACAAAAAGGAGGAATAGTCAGCACTAAAATTACTGCAATAGCAGAGCAGATGGAAGGGTTGGCTTTAGAGAGCAAGCAAACAGCATCTTCACTGTAAAGTAGTGGAGGAGGTGATTGTGGGAGCAGAGAAGTAGGTATGCCGCCCAGCCTAGCACACACCTTAAACCTCAGGATGGGACTGCTCTGTCCTAGAGCCTACCATCCCCTGCTGCCATGGGGAACTTCTTGTGGCCAACTTTCTTTCCAGTTCCTACCTATTGATATGCTGCTCATAAACAACACAGCCCTTCTTCTTTCACACTCACTCCTTCTGTTTGTCTTTCTCTTCCTCCATTCTTCTCCCATCTCCCTTCTGTTCTTTCTTCTCATCTTTCCTCTTCCCACACCTTTCTTTTCAGTTCTTGGACCATGAGTCCCTTTTCTTCCATGCTTCCCAGTAAGATTCAAAATCCCTCACAACATGTAGCATGTAGAAAAATGTAGTACCCTCTGTATTTAGCCACAGTCCTTCAAATGGTGCCCAGCAAGCCCAACCTTTTTCCATCAAAATGTCCAAGGTCCAAGATCATTTTTTATCTAAACAGAGCTGAGCCATGCCTCTCCCCAAGAAGGCAAAACTTCGTCTTTCCTTCTATTTATTTTAATAAAATTTATCCTTCCCAGTGTACTCACCTTATAGAGTTGCTGTAATGATAAGACAAAATATTTAAGTTGTGCAGTAAATCACTTCCAATTTTCAAATCATTTTGCCACATCATCCTCTCATAAATTGCGCTAAAACAACAAGAAAAATGATCAAGAAAAGTAGAAATTCCATCTTTAATAAAACTAAGAGACAGCTAAAACCCTGAACCACAATATACAAAAGTATACAGCAGATGGAAGAGTGATGATATGCAGTATCTGATTGACTTTCAATATCTGCATTTAGTTACGTAACTACCTGAAAGTTTTTCTTTAAGCTATGGATGTATATTTTATTTACATCAATAAAACTAATGGGTCTATTTAAGTGGTTTTTCTAAAATAAGAGTTAGTCTGTTCAGATATAAAGCCAAACTTTCGTGTTTTACGAGCTAGAAAATCTCCTGCTTTTTTAATGATGATAGCTTTTTATGGCAAGCAATCTTCAAGGTTTCTAAAAATATCTTAGGGTTTGGTTTTAAAAAACAGGGGCCCTATTTTTTTAAATACCTTGGATAATTCCCCCTGTAGAATGAGTAAGCCACAAGGTCATAACTCTTTCTTTGGTTTATTTCTTCCTATGAGAATGGAAATCTTCCTCATGTCAAATATAGCATCCACAGACAATCAGATATTACATGTTTCCCTTTTGGCTTAAGTAAAGAAATTCAAGGGAAACATGGACTTGAGAACCCCAAGATTCTGTCTGACTTTTTCATCGCTAGTGCCATTGGACATTTTTAGCCCCAGCATCATACTTCTGTGGGACTTTTCACTAAGCTCATAACACAGTGGGGGAAGTGCCAAGTTGGCTCCATATATAGGACATTTAGGAATTGTCCATTAAGGGAGTTTAATTGGTTTTGTTGCCTGGGGTAATACAAGTCAGGGCAAGATGTTCTTACTCCTACATAATGAATATCAATACAGGAAGATGAATGGTAAGTGGTTCCACCCCTCACCCCACAACCCTGTACTTTCCATAAAAAAGATAAAGCCCATGTCCAGATACTCAGAACAGGGAGAACAGCACAGTCCGCTCTTCTTTTGCTTTGTTTCTATATTAATAGTGATAAAAGAAGTTGAAGAATAGTTTTCCCTCACAGAGTTCCCTCCTGCATGATAAACATGTGGACAAAATTCTTTCTGATCTGTTCCAAGCCTCCCTGATCACCCTCAGAGGGAGCTCCGCATGGGAACATTTGCAGAATATTTGATAACTAACTGTGCTGTGGTTTGCAGATATGTGGTGCATATCCAAGCAAGAAAATTTAGCCTTTGCACTCTGGGAATTGACTGACCTAATTAGTCGATTCAGACCTTTCATCATGAGAAAACAATTTGTGCCTCTCTCAGCCCCATTTATGGTTAATGGGACAAATGAGAAAACAGGAGATTAAGGTAAAGAAGGAGAATGAATTGAGCTGGGACATAAACTTCAGTTACCACTTTGGACTAATTAAGGGATAAGGCTAGTTTGAAACAGTGAAAATTCTAATTAAGGGACATTTTTCAAGAAATGTAATGTTAATTTCAAACATGAATAATTACCATCAATAATGGTTGAAAACAGGCAGAGGTCATCCCAGGCCTGCTCAGAAGAACAGGGAAGGCTGTCTCCAAATTTGCACATTGCTTGCAGAAACCATTGCTGAAGTGCTCAGACAACTTTGCATTCTTTACAAGGATGTCAACAATAACATGGACTCTCTTTCTGTGGCACCCAGAAGTTAGCTTTTTTGCTCCATTTACTCATTCATTCAACAGATATTTTTTTGAGAACTTTTTAACTATCAGGATTCAGCACTGAACAAAAAAGAAAAGAATCTTGTCCCTCATGGAGCTTTGGGAGAAATAGGCAATAAGTACGTAAATAATTAAAATGTATAGCATGTCAGATGCTGTTGAGTGATATGGAAAAAATAAATTGAGTGGGAGAAGAATAGGGAATAGTGACAGGGGTGGAGAGAGAGGGCAGGGTTGCAGTTTCAAATAGCATGGTTGGAATAGGCCTTTTGGAGAAAGTTATGTCTGAGTAAAAACCTGAAGGTCATTGGCATGAATTCACCTGAGAGAATGAGTATTCCAAGTGGAGGGAAGAGCCAGTGCAAAGGCCCTGAGGCAGGAACACATTGGGCAAGGACTAGAGGTAGCAAGAAAACTGGTGTGGATGGAGTAGAGTGAATAAGGAAGAGGGTAAGTAGGAGTTTTATGGATAAGAGAGGAAATAGGTAGAAATGGGGGAACCAGATTACATAGGGCTGTCTAGGGGATTGTAAAGATTTCATTGATGCTTTGGACCATGGAGGTATATGCATTAAGAAGTGTAGCTTATGAATTTTTCTAAGTTAAAAGTTAGATTTGGTCAAAGTCTCTAGCCTTTGGGTAGTCTCAAGCATGCTAAGGTGTTTCTAAAATAATAACTACTTAAATAGCAGGCGATGAGAATTGCTCTCAATGTCTAAAGTTACAGATCTCATTCCCAGTAAAATTGCTAGTGAAAAGTAACCTAATTGACAAAGAATGCAATTGTCTCCCCAGAGAAAAGTAGCATTTAACTATGGGAATATTTAGAATTAGTATAAAAATTAGTATAAAAATGCTTAAAGGAATCAGAACCATAGTATTCATATTATGTTTAGAATTTATGCATAATTAGTATTACATATATCAATTTCAAATATATAACAGAATAATAGATTTTGGTGAATATTTCTGAGGTTATATATAGCACTAGAATATTAAAATAATTCTAATTTCACCATATAAAGTTAATTTGATTTATCTGAGTTTCTTAAGTATTATGGAAGAGCCTGTCAATCAGAAATTTTAACTTAAAAGGAAAATACAATGTATTAAATTTATAAACAACGTTTGTCATATTGAAAGTATTTAAGTTACCAAGGTTATAAGTGGAAACCAACCAGTATTATTCCAATCCCCATAACAAGCAGTTGTAAATATTTGCTAGATTTTTAAATTAGAATAAGAAGTTGAACATAAAAGCTCAAGGAAGAATTCAATTTCAGCATCTGTAACTTTAATAAAAGGTTATTAATAAAGTATCTCGAATAATCTTTTCTGCACACAAAACTACCCTTAATTGTACCAGAATGCTTACATTTATCAGCAGTCGTTTACTGTGTAGTTTCTAAAACTCCATTTTCTTGCCTTGTTCCTTCACTGCACTTTTTCTCACTCACAACTTCAGTTGCAGCACGTATTTTAATGAAATTACTATTTAGAAAAAAAGATTTCATGTAGGATCCTGAAAATTTTCTGAGTGTGCCTAGAGGGAATTGTGCAGCAGTATTCATGCCGTCTTTTATGCCATTGGGTGGGCTTTCCTTTGTTAATCATTGTTCTTCTGGAAAACTGGAATGCAGCCCGGGCAGAATTAATTTACAAGATTACAAGTTATGCACATCTCTTCTGGAGCAATTGGTCTTCCATTATACACCTTATTTCCTAAAATTTATCATTTTATAGCAAGAAATGTATGTTGTATGATAAAGAACAATGTGTTCCAGCTTGTGTCAGGCTAATGAGATATGAATTAAAGGATAATATTTATTCATCTGAATTAATTAGATAACTATGTTGCTCCATTTGAGGGAAGGCATTTTTAAATAATCTTGAAAATTACATTATAATCTACACCTTGAATTTCTGTTTTTGGTACCCTTTGAAGCAAACCACTCCTTGTGATAAATCACTCACTCTGTATACTTCTGGATCCCCAGCCACGTTTGGGTCAAACTTCAGAGCTTTTAGGATCTGGCTTTAAGAATAAAAACAGGCCCCCAGAGTTTGTTTGTTTATACATATTTATTTTTTCTCCCCAAACATATTAAGCAAGAAAAGACTATAAAAATCTAGAAAAATTAGCTTAAATAATGCTTGAAGACTTATAAATTTAGCTTTTATATTCATCTTTTATTTTGCTGCTATTCCTTATATAATTCATTAGTTCATGATTTTTGACATTACAATTTTATGACTTTTTGGGTTTTTTTGTATGTGTGTGTGGTGGGGAGTTTTCTCTAATAGGAATACATGTTTTTGCTAATATTTGTGGGGGAACTGGTGGAGATGCCAGCAAGTGGAGAAATCACTACCTTAATGGATGCCAGTGAAATAAAACTCAGGGGAACTACATGTACAGCAATTATCAAATACTGTCAATTACTTGTTAGAACATTTTTCCAGGAAAAAAAGGTTCGATAAAACTGAATGTTTTTTGTAATTGGAGGCAAAAGCTTTGGTCTTTCCTAAGTTTTACCTAGGTTTCTTCAAGAGGGCTCGCTGGCACCATCAACATTTTCACCCCAAGAGAGGGCATTTCTTCTGCTCAAAGCCCTGCGAATCCTGTCCCTGTCCCAACCTCCTCCTCTCCCAGCTCAATAAGAATTTTTCTCTCATAATTACATGAGAACTTGTGCCTATCTCTATTCTGACACATCACAATATGTCAATATAAAAATATTATTTATATTTCTTACTTCTCTACTAAATTAGATCCCTGAAGACAAGATATATTACACATATAACACGATAAAAATTATCAACAAGTGAAGCCTGTTGTGATAGGCTGTGTAGAATGGAGGAGAAGGCAATCAAGAGCCAAGATATTAGGGACAGAGCAAGACAAATGAGAAAGGTTTCTACTGGGGCAAAATGTGAGATACTCCTGGTATCTCACACGTTCAGGGTGCCTGAATATAGCAAGGGACCAAGAAGCTTGATGAAAATTTCCCAAGATCAGTCACGAATTTCTGTGAGCTATAGAAGAAAAGGTCACAAATTCTATTGATTTAAGTGCAACACAATTCCAAAACTGGACTACCAAGGAATTATAGCCTCATATGCCTCACACAGAGATCTTTGTTCCTGTTGTTCAAGATCTCAGTGCTTAGTGCAATGAATAGCTTATAGTAGATGCTCAATTAGTACTATTGATTGAATGTTGAACTGAAAGCTTTGTGCCATTCTCTGCTTTGCATAGGCTTATTTTTGTTCCTTGGAGTGGATGTTCCCTTTATATATATATATATATATATATATATAACATTTATATATTCCCTTTATATTCTGTATATTCTGGCTTTGTAGTAAATATTAAGTGATAATTAACTGTTATTAACCATCTGTTCAAGAAATGTGTACAAATGATACTGAACTTGCTTAACAAGCAAAATTTTCACTTGATTTGGGGGCATTTAAAGTTCACATTTGTGTCAGCAGACCAAAGAGTTAGAAGTAATGCAAAAACTTTTTATTATTAGATGAAGTGTTTGATTAATAGGAGCCCATATTGTGAATCCATGGATGTTAATTTCATGTTAGTTTCCTTTTTACTATCTACACATTATCTAACATTTATTGCTATGATTCTATTTCCTATGTGTTAGCAAATATTTTAGTGCTAGGAGGCAGGGGGAGAAAAAATTATGTAGGCTAGTTGGTTGAAGGTCCATGTAGTCAAGAGAGAATCCTTAGGGTAACAGACAATGCGAGGAGTATGTACTCTCTGGAAGCACTTCTGGAGGGCTTCTTTAATTTGGCATAAATAGGATCATTCATCCTTCTTTAACTGCTCTGACCATGCCGGCTACTCTGATTCTCATAGCTAAAATAGCTCAGTGGGAAAAGAGGGGGTGGTGACAAGGGCACCACAAGTAGAAATGACATAAAGGAAAGAGATTGCAGTGGGGGAGGGAGATATTGACTGGGTTATATGAAGCTGGGAAGAGAGATACGGAAAATAAACATAGCTATCTAAGCCCTCTTCTCTATAATTGTAAGAATTAACCTCAACGCAAATGGTCAACTCTCTATTTACCCCCTAATGGCCTTCTATAATGACCTCAAGGCCTCACCTTCACACTCCCAAGCTGTTCCCAGGCTACTGAGATAGGATGGAGCCTGACTGATTGTGGAGAATTTGTGTCAGAGAGTATTCTAAAGTCAAATGCAAGTGATTTGAGATTTTTCTTTTGCTTTATTTAAGTTGTCTCTTTTCCTCCTTTAGGGGTGGTTAATTAAACATTGGCTCCATGTTCCTGTTATAATATGAAAGTTTCCTTATTATTCTCACTTTGAATTCTCTAATTCATAATCTCCCTGATACTTAAAGCCAAGGCTTGCGAAAAGTTTCAAAAGACTTCTGGCTTATTTTTTTTTCCTAGCAACTTCTGGCATATTGCATTTGGTATTCCATCTTGAACTTTCAAAAAATACCATAATAAAAATCTATCATGAGAGATACTTACATAGCATCTCCAACATTCACAATTCTGAATATAATGATATTTTAATTTTCATTGAGAGCTCTTTCACTAGATTTTATTTTAGATGTACCCTAAATTCTTTGGGGCTTGAAGCTGACAGTAGATTGCTGGTTTGGGGGACAAGCACAGAAGCTCTTTAGAAAGCCATTAGATCTGAAATGTTGTAATGTGTTTATGACGGAACTACAAATGGTCAATCAGTTAGGATTATTTAGATCTGTTTATTTTACACTGTTACCTGTGGAGCTAGTGTCCAAGGAGATCTTGGGGAAGGGGGGTGAGTCTTCTAAGAAAAGAACATTGGGCAGGGTTCGATGCCCACCACCCATGTCTTCCCATGCCACAAATCCTATTTTTATATGTTTTCAAATGTTAGGCTTTCATACAAATTTATTTTGAATAAAGTACCTCATGGCTTAACAAGTTGAAAGCCTCTAATATACATGACTGGAGTTTCTTGAATAACAACGTATTGAATGCATTTATTTGGGGCATTCAATAATCTCTGGCATTCTAATGCTCCGGCATTCTAATAGCTAAAGGAGCAAAACTGGACACATTTTGCTTTATGGTTAGATTTTATTCTAAATGCCTGGGGACTTTACTTTCTTTTCCAAATATTCATATAATTTGGGCATGTGGATTTACAATAGCAGCACTTAGAAGAGCTTTTCTTCCTAGATCCTTTGGTGATGACTTGAATGTACTGCAGAAAGATCACTATAGATGTCTTAATAATTGAGTCTGTTGGGATGTTTTCAACTGCAAATGATAAAAAGTTGAACCCTGACTGGTCCAGGTGATTTATGGATTCACATTCCTAAAATCACCAGAGGTAAAGGTGGTTTTGGAATGAATTCGGTGCCTCAAGGGGCTGTCAGTGCTCTATCTGTTAGACCAATTGGCCCCATTCTTAGGTAAGTTCATCTCTAATAGGTGGAAGACGGTTTTAGACATTCATCTAACCTCAACAACTCTGGTAGAAAATAAAGTTTCCCAACAATTAGGAAAAAAAATATCAATTTTCATTCTCATTAGCTCTGAACATGCATGTCTCTGAAGCAGCAAGACTGACAATATTCAATTATATGCCCAGTCCTGGGAGTTTGGGGTGTGGTCAGTCCCGTCTAAACCACAGAGATTGAGAATGGATGAGGGGTGGCTTACCCAGAGGAAATCAGAATATTGTTGACAAAAGGTGAAAATCGAGGCAGAATGGCAAGTATAACAAATGCCCATTTCAGTTATGCATGACTTTTTGTTCCAAACAGCTATGTTTTCAATCAGCATTAAAAATCTAAGATAGTAACCTGTTTTTCTGTTCAAAGGTCTTTAAAAAAAAAAAAAGCAGAGTAAAAATAAAATGCTACATTAAAAGAACTAAATCAAAATATCAAAAACTGAAGTAAGTTTTAGTCATAATTTGATTCTCTCATTTCCTTCCATTTTTCCCCTGGGTAAACACCTGAAAGGCACATATCTGATGGGTTGAGGAGTGTGAGAGCCTGACTGGGAAATTATTTTATTACAGAAGTCACAAAAATATCTTCTTTTCTCAGTCTTCCTGCTTTTTTCACACAAAGAAGAAACAGAAAAATGAATTTCAATAGTGACAGCTCAAGTGTTTCTTTTTCAGCGGTAACTTTCTCTCTCCCTTTTCAGCTTCCTCTCTTTGCTGCTCCTCTTGATCCTACCAAAGACCTTGCCCAGGTTACCACTGGGATCAAGAAAATTAGGGAATCTTGCACAGAGGTGAGAAATGGCAAATGGGCGTTCTAGCCTGTGGGATAATCATCTACATTAGTGTAGAGTGAAGGCGTCTCATGCCTCTTTGGAAAGAAAATTCCACAAGAGCAACAGGGAGAGACTGCAATCTCATGACAGCCTGCTCAGGCTTTCCCATTATTTGTGATATAAATTATCATATAAACTAAACACTGGTATTTTTAAACTGTTATCTGCCACTGTTTCTCGATTTTGTGCCCATGCCTTGGTGTCAACCATCCCTGGGTCTTTAATTTCAAACACTATGTCCTTGTATTTGGGGATCTCCCCCAAATTGTGAATGACTTTCCTCTATGGGCCTGACCCAAAGTTGACTGTATTAAATGCCATGAAATAAAAATTTCTGGATACCAAAGAGAGAAATGAGTCAAATAGTTAAACATTAAATTCCCTATTAAAAATAATTCTTATATCATTGTTATCAGTTTTGTATCTGAAGATGGGAAACTATGTGTTGAAACCATACTGGGCCCTGAGATGGTATTTTGATTCATGTTAGGGCACATAAACTAAAAGGACTACCATAGCTTTCAGTTTAGCCTCTGCAAGAATATCTGGGGCATCTACTATAGCCCCTGGAGGGAGGGTCTTTGCCATTTCTACTCCATTCCAGAGCTCTGAGAACAATGTTGTGGCTGATAGTAAAAACCACCAGATCCTCTGCAGGAATAATTGTATTAGCCCATGTGTAGACAAGGGCACAGTCTTAGACCCTTCAACAAAGGAATATACTTTATTATTTATTTTTACTTTTTCGAGACAGAGTCTTGCTCTGTTGCCCAGGCTGGAGTGCAGTGGTGCAGTCTCAGCTCACTGCAACCTCTGCCTCCTGGGTTCAAGCGATTCTCCTGCCTCAGTCTCCTGAGTAGCTGGGATTACAGGTACCCACCACCATGCCAGGCTAATTTTTGTATTTTCAGTAGAGATGGGGTTTCCCCATGTTGGCCAGGCTGTTCTCAAACTCCTTATCTCAAATGATCCGCCCACCTCGACCTCCCAAAGTGTTGGGATTACAGTCATGAGGCACTGCGCCTGGCCAAAGGGATATTCTTTAAATAGCTTAGTAAGACATGATTCCATAAGTGATGATGGAATCTCTGAAACAAAACTGTGGAATTTTCATATGTTACAGAACAGTGTTATCCAATAGACATGTAATGTGTAAAGTTTTAAATTTTCATGGTGCCGTATTTTTTAAAAAGTTAGAAAACAGATGAATTATGTTGTTAATGTATTTTAACTATCATGTGAAAATAATATAATTTATATTATTTCAGCATATAATCAATATAAAACTTATTAATGAGTTTTTCCCCTCCAAACTAAATATTCAAAATCTGTGTGTATTTTATTCTTACAGCCAGTCTCAATTTGGACTAGCCAATCTTCAAGGGCTAAATAGCCACATGTCACTAGTGGCAATTAGTTGCTAATCTTGGATGGTGGAGTTATAGAGTCTCCTGAGATTGAATATACAGAAATTCGTACATCTCAAGATGCAGTAATCTTTAGCATGTCTTGCTTAGGAATAAGGGTCACAAATTATTATTCTGTTCTCAAAACAAGTCATTAAATGTCAGGTTGATAGGACATTCAAGCTTCAAAGTTGAGCGGGGAAGTATAGATTTTCCCATAGATCTCCTATAACTTCTTTTGAGGCTTTGTTCATATTATTTTTGCTTTGTTTTGTCTTGGGCTTTAAACCAACTTGATATAAAAACTACATAGTTAGTTTTTGTTCTAAAATGAGACAGCCTTACCTAAGTAATTTCAACTAATTTTTTAAAATGGACTGTAATTATTGTTTTTAGAACTGTGCTGTTTTCTTAGATGTCATTAAAGAAACTGCTGTGGGAGATGAGTAAGAGCATGTCTATTTCTATTCCAGGAATATTTTACTTGTTAACCTCGTGGTTGATAAAATTATGATCAATTAGTCAGAATGTAAGCTGCATGAAACCATGTGATAAATTGTTCCTCAATTAGAAAGTTGGTTTGCCTCCTTATTAACTTGCTTATTTTCCTTCTTTTTCTTATAGCTGTCCTTCCTGATAGATATTTTTATTATGGGTGTTATAAAATCAAACTTATATTTTAATTTTTACCATAGTAATAAGCTCTTGGACACACACACACACACACACACACACACACACACACACACATATTTAGATAATACATTGTAGTACAAAAAATTTGTTAAATAACTGTTTTCTTTTTTTATTTCTAAATCTCAGTTTATACCAGAGAGTAACCACTGAATAGTACCTAAAGAGAAGTTAACAATGGTTATGAAAATATAAATTACCTTTACTATAATTATTTTGCCTTTTGGAAATGCTTAACAAGATTATGGATAATTTATTATCCAACATTGATACATGACAACTCTC